>NC_000009.12:100796309-100947824 GCF_000001405.40 Homo sapiens | reverse complement strand
GGAGATGAGATATATTACACACATAATACTTATTTCAATAATCATCAGCAGTTTCATCTTGATGTGACTTTTTTTGCAGCTGCCTTGGTATTAGCAATAAACTCTAAGGACCATCTTGCTGATACTTTGAACAAATAAATAAGAATATTTCTAATCGCTAGCCCACAAACACAAGGACTTGAGCATGCACAAAATCTTAATATACTCCCCAAGTACTACTTGTGAGAGCTACATTAACTCTTGGTTTGGATTCCTATTTCCAGATATTGTTGACTCTAGGTATTCTAGTTTTCATCAGGCATTTGGGGTTTGATAGTGAACCTAACAATCTTTGGGATTCTCTTCTTGATCTTATAGTTTAAAAATAAATCAAGCAACACCACCAAATGGCTGAGAAAAAGGAAATTCAGCTTTTGTGATTTTAGACCAGTGGAACCATAACTGCATCTAGTTACATAATCTTGACATATTTTGCCTATTGTTTGTCCAAACACAACGTTACTTCACTAGAGCTCTGGGTAAGTATCAAACAAATCTACATACAGAAAGACAAACAAGCAAACCTATCTGGCTTCTAGAATGGCTTTCTTCTTTTCCTCTCCAAACCTAGAAAGTTGATTTGAGAATTGGTGACATCACAATTTACATATGGCATTTAGCAAGTACTCAATTGATGGCAACTTTACTCCTTACTATCATTATGAGAAGAAAGATATACAGATGGTCCCCAATTTACCCTGGTTTGACTTACAATTTTTTTACTTTACTATGGTGCAAAAGGGATAGTCATTTGGTAGGCTTCTCGACTTAAGATGAGACTAAACCCATCAGAGGCTGAAAATATTATTAAGTCAAAAATGTACTTTCAACTGATGATATTTTCAATTTATGATGGATTTATCAGGACATAATCCCACTGGAAACTGAGGAGGACCTGTGTATCCTTCCCAAACTCCTGGTCTGGATCTTCAATTCTGTTTCTCAGTACAGCCCCAGAGGGTGGTAGAGAGGCTTTGTAATAGAATTCCTAATTGAAATTAAATACATGGGGATTTTCAGTGAAGCTGCAAGTAGGAGATCTGTGTTTCTTAGATTAATCTAAACACTGTTCTGTGTTATTAAAGTTGTCTTGTATTGTGCTGATGTTGGATTTGGCTGAAATTTTAAAGATAGGGCCTTTTGTCTGAAGGCACTTTTTTAAAGAAATTAGACCAGGCATGGTGGCTCATACCTGTAATACCAGCACTTTGAGAGGCCAAGGCACAATGATGGCTTGAGCCAAGGAGTTCAAGACCAGCCTGGGCAACATAGAGAGACCTCATCTCCACAAATAATTTTTAAAAATAACCAGGCATGGTAGCATCTCCCTGTGGTTCCAATTTCTCAGGAGGCTGAAGTGGGAGGATTGCTTGAGCCTGGGAGGTCAAGACTGCAGTGAGCCATGATTGTGCCACTGCATTCCAGCCTGAGTGACATTGTAAGACCCTGCCTCAAAAAAAAAAAAAAAAAAAAAAAGAAATGTAATAAATACAAACCAAGGAATGAGGGAATAATCTGGTAGTTCATAACTGTGGTCCTCATGTACCACTGAAGATGTTTAACCATACACAGAAGTCACCAAATCCCGGGTGGGAATCCAAGTAGATAACTAAAAATCACCTAGGTAGACAACCCATAAGAGTAACAATTCCTGACATTGGACTCAAGTCATCTTCTACACAGAGTTCTTCTAACCTGGATTCTTCCTTTAATAATAGTTTGCCTATGACAGTGCCTGGCACAGAGTGGGCATTTAATATACAGGCATACCTCACAGATACTGTGGGTTTAGTTACAGACCATCCCAATAAAGTGAATACCACAATAAAATAAGTCACGCAAATTTTATTTCCCAGAGCATATAAAAATTATACTTACACTATATTGATATTATAATCTATCAATTATACATTATGTCTAAAAAGATGTACATACTTGCTTTTAAAATACTTTATTGCTAGACAGTGCTGACACAGAGACAAAAGTGAGCACATGCTGTTGAAAAATGGCAATGGCACCAATAGACTTGCTCAATGCAGGATTGCCACAAACCTTCAATTTGTATTTTAAAAGAAAAAGGCAGTATCTGTGGAACACAATAAAGTGAACCACAATAAAATGATATATGCCCAAATATGTGTTGAATGAATAAATAATTAATGAGACACCTTCAGGTTTTCGTGGGCTTTGACACTCCAATCACCTTCTGCACAAGCAATGACCTTCAACATTAGAGATGTTTTCAGATAGATATGCAAAGACTCCAGGAACCATTGTTAAAAAATCAATCTTTTCTCCCATAACACATTAACCCAGGAAAGATGTAAGCATGAAGACATGCCATCAAGACTGATCCCTACACATTTATTAACTTAGAATAACTAGGGTCTTTTGTGGGGGTAAGGGAAGGGCAGGTAAATGTAAAACTGGGAATCTTGGAAAGAAAAATGCAACATGTATTTCCCTCCAAATGTTGTCATATTATATTTTAATCTGGGACAATCAAATGCAAGACTACAAACAGTGAGCAGGAAACAAGCACTTCTGAGCAGACAAAACAAGGAAGTGTTTTCTGTCACTCTGTTAATCCAGCCTCATCCATGCTATCGTAAGGCCCTGGAGTAGAAAGGAAAGTACAGTCTCTGTCAGCCTTCCAGACTGCATCAAGCTTCCCCAGTTAAAAAGGTCTGCATTCTCTACTCTCTCCTCTAAGAGCTAAACTCCAGTCCTGCAGCTGCTATGGACATGTGGAAGCTGCAGACCAACAGTTTTAAGAGTAAACAAAGTATTAAGTAGGCTGTCAAAATGAACCACTTTCTTAAGGAGCGCACTAAACCAACTGTATCTCACAAATTAGTTTTTCCTGACAAGGTTCAATATTTATAAAGTAATCAAAACAAACTAAATTACCAGGAAAAACTTCAGATAATTTGCAAATACATGGAAATTAATCAACATGCTTTTGAACAACCAATGGTTCAAGGAGGAAAATAGTAGGGAAATTTTAAAATATCTTGAGACAAACAAAAATGGAAACATAAAATACCAAAACTTATAAGATGCATCAAAAGCAGTTCTAAGAGGGAAATGTATAGCAATAAATGCCTACATCAAAAAAGAAGGAAAAACTCAAATACACAATATAACATTACATCTTAAGGAACTAGTAAAACAAGAACAAACTAAGCCAAATGTTAGTAGAAAAAGAAAATAGTAAAGATCAGAAAAGAAATAAATGAAATAGGGACTAGAAAAAAAAATCAATGAAACTAAGAGTTGGTTTTTTGAAAAGATAAAATTCATAAAACTTTAGACAAAGGTTAGACTGAGAAAAAAGAAGACTTAAATAAATAAATCAGAAATGAAAAAAGAGAAATTATGACTGATACAAAAGAAACACAGAGGAACAGGAGAGAATATTATGAACAACTATATGCCAACAAATTGGATAACCTAAAGGAAGCTGATAAATTTCTAGACACATGCAACCTACTGAGACTGAATTATGAAGAAACAGAAAATCTGTACAGACCAATAATAAGTAAGAAGATTGAATCAATAATTTTAAAATCTCCCATTAAATAAAAGCTTGGGACCTGATGGCGTCACAGTTAATTCTACCAAACATTAAAAAAATTCTACCAATCCTTCCCAAACTCTTCTAAAAAATTAAAGAGGAAGGAATACTTTCAAACTCATTTTATGAGGCTGGCTTACCCTGATACCAAAGGAACATGAAGACATTACAAAAAGAAAAAAAAAAACTAAAGGCTAATACGCCTGATAAACCTAAATGCAAAAGTCCTCAAAAAAAAACACTGGCAAATCAAATCTAACAGCACATTTTTAACATCATTCATCATTAGCAAGTGGTATTCATCTCAGGGATGCAAGGAGAGTCAAACATACACAAATCTATAAATGTTGTAAAACACATCAACGGAATGAAGGAAAAAAAATGACCATCTCATTAGAGGCAGAAAAAAGCATTTGACAAAATCCAATATTCTTTCATAGTAAAACTCCCAACAAATTTGGTACAGAAGGAACGCACCTCAACACGATAAAGGTCATATATGAAAAACCCACAGCTGACATACTCAACAAGGAAAGTTGAAAGCTTTTCCTTTAAGATCCAGAACAAGACAAATGTGCCCACTGGAACCAATTCTATTCAACATAGTACTAGAAGTTCTAGCCAGAGCAATTAGACAACAGAAAGAAATAAAAGACATCAAATGGAAAGGAAGATGTCCCTGTTTACCGTTGACATAATCTTATATAGAGAAAATCCTAGACACTCCATCAAAAAAAACTGTTAGAACTAATAAACAAATTTAGTGAAGTTGAAGGATATAAAATAAATATACAAAAATTAGTAACATGTCTATACACTAAAAGCAAGCAATATGAAAAATAAATCAAGGAAACAATTTCATTTACAATGGCATTAAAAAACCTTAGGAATAAATGTAACCAAGAAGGTGAAATATCTCTACACTGAAACTATAATACTTTTATGAGAGAAGTTGAGGAAGACAATGTTCATACTACCCAAAGCAATGTACAGATTCAATGCAATCCCTATAAAAAATACCAATGACATTCTTCACAGAAGGAGAAAAAACACTCCTTAAATTTGTGTGGAACCAAAAAAGACCCCGAATAGCCAAAGTAATCTTAAGCAAAAAGAACAAAGCTAGAGGAATTAGACTGCCTGATATGGAAGTCTACTATAGAGCTATAGTATTCAAAATATCATGATACTGGCATAAAAACAGACATACAGATCAATGGAACACTATAGAGAGCCTAGAAATAGATTGACCCATTTATAGTCAATTGATCTGTGACACAGATGCCAAGAACATACAATGGGGAAAGAGCTAATCTCTTCAATAAATGATCCTGAATATCCACATGCAGGACAATGAAATTAAACGTCATCTCACACCATATGCAAACTTCAACTCAAAATGAATAAAGACTTAAACCTAAGACCTGAAACTTAAAACTATTAGAAAACATGAAGGAAAATCTCCTTGACATTAGTCTGGGTAGCAATTTTTTGGATATAACTTCAAAAGCACAGGCAACAAAAGCAAAAAAATAGACAAATGGGATTACATTGAACTAAAAAACTTCTGCGCAGCAAAGGAAATAATCAACAATAAAGAAACAACCTAAGGAATAAGAGAAATATTTACAAACATTTATCTGATAAGGAGTTAATATACCAAACATATAAGAAACTCAACTCAAAAGCAAAACAACAAATAATGTGATTAAAAAATAGATGAATTACCTAAATAAACATTTCTCAAAAGAAGACATACAAATGGCCAACAGGTATGTGAAAAAATTTTCAACATCACTAATCATCAGGGAAATGCAAATTAAACTACAAAGAACTATCACCTCATCCCTGTTAGAATGGCTATAATCAATAAGACCATAAGAATTGTCAAGGATGTGGGGGGAAAAAAAGGCATCTTTGCACATGCCAGTGGGAATGCAAATTAGCACAGCCATTATGGAAAACACTATGATGTTTCCTCAAATATAAAAAATAGAATTGCCATATGACCCAGCAATACCACCACTGGGTATATATCCAAAGGAAATGAAATCAGTTTGTCAAAGAGATATCTGCACTTCCATTTTCACTGCAGAATTATTTACAATAGCCAAGATATGGAATCAACCTAAGTGTCAATCAACAAATGAATAGATAAAGAAAATGTGATATATATACACAATGGAATAGTATTCATCCATTAAAAAGACAAAAACGCTGTCATTTCAACAACACTGATGAACCTGGAGGACAATATGTTAAGTGAGATAAGCCAGGCACAGAAAGACAAATACCAAGTGATCTCACCTATATCTGGAATATAAAATTGATCTCTTAGAAGTAGAGAGTATCATAGCGGTACCCACAGGGGGAAAGGAGGATGAGGAGAGAGTGGTCAAACAATATAGAATTACAGTTATATAGAAGTCATATATTCAAGGATATCTAGTGTAAAGTGACTATAGTTAAATGACCATTTATTGTATTATTGAGAAAGTCTAAGAGAGTAGATTTTAAGTGTTCTCGTCACTAAAATAACTTTGTGAGATAATGCATATGTTAATTAGCTCAATTTAGTATTTCTTTAATGTAAATATTTCAAAACATCATGTCAAACATATACAGCTTTATCTGTCCATTTAAACAAATAAAAAACACTAAAGAAACTAATTTAATTTTTAAAATAAGAAATGAAAAGGGAGAAGGTAGTATAAAAGGGAGGGAAGAAAGGAGGGAGTGATTAAGGAAATAATACAATTGTTATTTTATTTTCTACTTGAAGAACAATATAAGTGATACCAGTCACCATTTTCTAAAAGGCTGAGTAATGTAACCATGACTCGATTTGATTTCTATAGCTATAATTTGGAAATGAGGACCTTCATTTCTTTAAAACTAAGTACTGTAAATAAAGACCTCAAAGTAAACAAAATTAAATCCATGAGTTGAAGTTTTTGCAAAATACAAATTGACTATTTTTTATGTAATTTTATTTTTCAACTTCTATCCTTTATGTCCCTCAAAGTCCCTCTTCCTTGATAACAGTCATTATCCAGCTGGCTGTATCCTTGTGAAAACACCATCAGCCAATGTAGCTGCTGGTGGGAAATCCAGGGCAAGGTTCCCCTAAGAGATTTCAAGAAAGTAGGTAGACTAATTTACAAATTATTTCTTATGTTTCCTTACAAATTAGTAGTGACTGTAGAATAAATGAATTTATACTTTAAAAGAGAAAGGAAAGGAAAAATAAATTTTCCATCTTTTCTTCATTTATGCAAGCTTTGATTGGATTTCAAAGGCCTCCACTTAAAAAAATCATTGACTCCCTGGGTTTAAGGGATTATTGTCTGTGGAATTTTTAATTACTTTTTGAAGCAAAAAGATAATTGGATTGAGGATTTGACCAATAAAAGAGAAACTGATTTGATTTTTAATTTTTGGGATTTTAATTAAAATCTATAGTCCCTATCTAGTTAGTATCTGATACATTTTGGCTCAAAGGGTCACTCTTCCTCCCATGTATAAAGTCAGTCACATGAGCACATATACCTCTTTAGACTTTTCTATACTATATAGTAAATATGTCCATTAAATGAAGAAATAAATACATGACAGCTTAAGGTTTGGAAGCTGTGAGTGGCAGTGTTTAAATGTCTGGACTCTCAAGTCAAATGTCATAATTCACATGCCATGCTCATTTCAATCACTCTTTGTCACTGTCAAATAGATTTTACTGTGCAGGGCCCTAAACTATATGGGCACTACAGGGACAAAAAGATACCAGTCTACATAAAACCACACTGTTGTCTTTCCAAGTGTACCTGTATCTATCCTTCTATAGCCTGCCTAATTCTTTATTTAAATTTTACCATTATTTATATTTATGTAAATATTATTTATATTCCTGTTTTAAGCCTCTTCAGATACTTAACAAACACACACCAAACCAACCAACCTACAAGGTATTTATGTTTCTCAAGATTTTAAAGACATCTCTAAGCACTAATGTTCTGAAGGTACAATCCCCATCAGATTCCTTAGGAGTTATATGTTCTCAGGAAGAAACAAAACATTGTATGACTTTCATTCATCTCAACCTCTTTGAGGAATGATGCTGAGGGCACACTTGGGTGTGGCTATTACACGTGATTCAGTACCACTGCTGATGACTTTTTGTTGTGTGACCACTGGTGCAGTTTTCAAAGCCTTCCCTCTGTCTTTTTAATTCCCCCAGTCATATTTACCCAAAGTTACCTTGCTGGAAACTATCCTTTGGAATGATCATGTTTCTTTCCTATCCTTGCTCTTGAGCTAACCCCATTTGAGTTCAGCCAGGACAAGCTGGTTTATCCTCTGATGTCATCTCCACACATGGCTGGTTCAATTATGCTTCATCACTGCAGTCCTAAGAGGCATTCCCCAGAACTGATTTTAGTTTTAGTTTCATATTTAGGTTTAGGAAACAACTCAAGTACTCCCACTGTGACATCTTGGAGTTGATATAGGTTTCCCAACTATGTAAGACATAATAAATTCCCCTATTGGACATATTTGTGTTTAGTGTTGAGTTGGATACCACATCCATTATACTGTCAGAGGCCATTCTCAATTTTTAATCACATTCCAAATTCTTTGGTCCTCCAGCCATTGCCAACAAGAGTATTACTTATGTAGCAGAATGAACTGGGAGCTTTCTGCTGTCTCAGCCAGTCTACAAAAGACTTATGAACAGCCTCTGGGACTTTGATTCTGTTTTTCCAGTTTATTTATGTCCATGACACTCTACCAATTTTCTAAAAGTTAGCCCTTTGTGTTTTATATTAGCAGTACTAGCTTGGCATACACTAATAATAATTAATGAAATATTAATTGTTGCATTTATTTGTTTGTATAATTACCACTTTTATTATTCTCAAATCATCCTTCCTAAACTTAATGACTTTGCTCTTAAGAAAGCAACACCCAACTTTGTGATTAAAACAGGTTTCAAGGGGAATAAGCATTTGAAGTCAAACTCTTGTCCCTAAGACAAACTCAAAAGTGTATGTACTTATAAGTACATACTTAAATTATTTTATGCAATACAAAATAAGTAACAAATATTTACCGCTGGACAGAGTACAAATTCTAAGTTTGATGTAAAAAAGATGAAAATTCTTCCAATCAGTTACTACATGCTTGTCACCATCGTCGGTATTTACCAATCAAAATGAGCAGGTTCTAGAAGCTCAATGGATGCTTATCAACACTATGGCTTGAGTAATCATGTGAAAACTATGCCCAATTGGACACTCAAGTGAGTGTTTACATAGATCAAGAACACAGAAAATTGACATCATGCTGGACAAGCAGAGCCATCCAGTGTAGTTGTTAAGAATGTGAAGATTACTGTAGAATTAAATTCAAGATGGTTGACTAGGAACAGCTAGTGTGTGGTGCTCTCATGGAGAGAAAACAGAATGGTGAGTAAACACTAGCTCTTCAAGTAGATCATTAATGAGACCACATCAGGATTCACCAAGGAAGCAAGGGGACCCACAGAGAATAGAGAGGAGTGAAGCCAGGAAGCTGCCTATCCAGGACCAGCCTGGAGCTAGGGGAAGCTCCCTAATGCAGAGAAAGGGTGAATGAGTGAGAGTGCCCAGGGATCCACACTTGCCACATGGACCTTTGTAATCCTGAACACAGAAGCACCCACCGCCACAGCCCCTGTCTAGACCACACAGAGAGCTGCCTGGAGCTTTTCCAGAGGCACTGCTCTGGAAACCCCATAGACCCTGGATCCCTAAGCAGCCAAGCACCAACTGCCATAGCCCCAGTAGAGGTCAAAGTCATGGTGCTGAAGAGTAGTCAGACTGCCCCACTCCTCCTCTCCAGGAAAGGCTCGGCTTGGGCTTCCAACACAGCAACCCCACCCCTGCCTGAACTCTGCACTCACCCAGGAACCACCTGGACAGCAGACCATCCACTTCCCATACCCACTGCTCCTAGCAAGGCAAGGCTTGCCAGCTTGGGCTTCCAGCGTAGCAGCCCCACCTGAACATTACGGTCAGTGACAGCTCTGTGTTCTTCTAGGGCAAAACTCCCAGAAGTAGCAGACAATGCTTGACACCTTTATGTGCCCCCAATAGTAAAGTTCAGCATCGCTTCGGTGGGAGGGAAGTATGAGCGTGCCATGTTCCCTACAGCCACCAATCTTCATTGCCCCAGCTAAGGGGTCCTGCCATCCCTAGTGAAAGGCCCACAGCACAGCTGCCCTGCCCCCACCTGGTCATCTCACCTACAGCCCAGAGCCCTTCTGAAAACCCAGTCCCCACAGGCCTGTGATCTTCCTTCAGGCTCCCACCACCTAAGTGTTCCACCAGCCCCTGCCTGAGAGTTTGACCAGTTTCCAGGGAACCAGCCTTCCTGCCCCCATAATAGCCACCACGTCAACTCTGGGTTAGCTGGACCCCGATCAAGCCCTTTCAGGACTCATACATGCTGTTTAGCAGACCATATAGAAGGGCCTGGGAACTGGGAATCTACCTAATCCAATTCAAGTTTCCTGGAACCTGACTACTTTCCCCAGAAACTAAGGCTGAGCTGACTCAAGCAGCTGACACCACCACAACCAACACCTACTCACACTGGCCCAAAGGTGGAGCACCCCTCCACCCCTCCTTTAAGAGAAGCAGTAGCATTGCTACATTGGAGAACAGGCGAGTCTAAAAGCTATCTGTGTCAGGTTGAGTGACAAGGTTATGCCCTAAAACCACTCCCATGGAGATTCACAAAACAAGCATTGCCCATACCTCCCAGCTACACTGCAGTCCAGAGACAGATGACAGTGTGTGTCTGAACTAGGAGTCACAAGCCCTGGAACAGGAATGTGACAGGGAAACAGACCATATTGCTGCTTATCTAAAAGCGGGGGCCAGTTCAACCACTTCATCCCCCCTCTGCACAACACCCTCTGCCGAAACTTCAGCACATTTTACCAGGAACTCCCCCCAGCCACCCTCATCAAGGCTGGTGCCTTCTGTCACTATTGGGATATTGGTGGGAAGCCAGGGAAGGGCTCCAGCTCTGCTCAGCTGTGTCCTGCCACCTCTGTACAACAGGAAGCTCAAGACACTGGGCACCCCAATGTCCAGTCCTTCACCCAAAACAACAGACAGCACCTCACAGTGAACAAAAACCAGGTTCACACCCACCAACTTGTGAAGCACCTGGCTCTTACCTGCGAATTCCATCTACCAGCCTGCAGGTTGAGCCATATAGCCCAATAAAAAACATGCCAAGAGAAGTGCATAGGACTACAGGAGCAAAGCCAAAAAGCCCTACCCAATACAATCCTTTTCAGTTGAGAAAGAACCAACATAATAATTCTGCCACCATAAAATATCTGAATGCTGTGACACCACCAAAGGCTCACTCTAGCTCTCCTGCAATGATCTCTAACAAAAACAGAGGCACAGAGATAACAGATGGAGACCTCAAAGCATGGATTGCAGAGAAACTCAACAATACACAAGACAAGTTGAAAATGAACAAAAATCAACCTCTAAAGCAACTCAGGAAATAACAAAAGAGGTAAATATCTTAAAAATAAATCAATTAGATATACTGGAACTGAAAAACTCACTTAAGGAATTTCAGAATACAATTGAATGCTGTATCAATAAACCAGATCAAGCAGAAAGAAGAATTTCAGAGCTTGAAGACTGGTCTTTCTAACTAACCCAATCAGAAAAAAAGTTTTTTTAATTTAAAAGATGAACAATATAGGATCATGTAAAGCAATCAAACGTATGAATTATCGGCATTCCCAAAAGAGGAGAAAAAGTAAACAATCTGTGTATTAGTCCATTCTCATACTGCTATAAAGAACTACCTGAGACTGAATGATTTATACAGAAAAGAGGTTTAATTGGCTCACAGTTCCACAGGCTGTGCAGAAAGCATGGCTGGAGAAGCCTCAGAAAACTTATAACCAAAGTGGAAGGGCAAAGGGGAAGCAAGCACGTCTTCACACGGCAGCGGGAGAGAGACAGAGCGAAGGGAGAAGTGCCACACACTTATAAACCATCAGATCTCATGAGAGCTCACTCACTATCATGAGAACAGGAAGGGGGAAATCTGCCGCCATGATCCAATCACCTTCCACCTGGTCCCTCCCCCAATATTGGGAATTACAATTTGACATGAGATTTGGGTGGGAACATGGAGCCAAACCATATCATCCTGGAAAAATATATTCAAGATAATAGTTTAAGAAAATTTCTCTAATCTTGCTGAGTATAGGAAACCCAAAGAACACCTGCCTGATACCATACAAAGTAAACATCAGCAAGGCATATGGTCAGTAGACTAAGGTCAATGTTAAAGAAAAAATCTTAGTGGCGACTAGGGAAAAAAGTCAGATCATACACAAAGGGAGCTACATCAGGTTTAACAGCACACTTCTCTACAGAAATTCTATAAGGCAGAAGAGACTGGAGGTCTATATTTAGCATTCTCAAAGAAAGGAAATGTCAATCAAGAATTTAATACTGGTCAAAATGGTGAAACCCCGTCTCTACTAAAAATACAAAAATCAGCTGGGCGTGGTGGCAGGCGCCTGTAATCGCTCCTACTCAGGAGGCTGAGGCAGGAGAATCACTTGAACCCAGGAGCAGACGTTGCAGGAAATAGGAAAAGAAGAAGTCAAATTATCTCTCTTCACTGATGATATGATTCTATATGTAGAAAACCCTAAAGGTTCTGCCAAAAGGCTCCTAGAGCTGGTAAACAACTTTAGTAAAATTTCAGGACACAATGTACAAAAATAAGTAGAATTTCTATACACCAATAATATTCAAGCTGAGAGCCAAATCGAGGACACAATCCCATTTACAATAACCATAAAGAAAATAAAATACCTAAAAATACATCTAACCAAGGAAGTGAAGGTTTTCTACAAGGAGAATTACAAAACTCTGCTGAAAGAAATCATAGATGATGAAAGAAACAAAAAGAAAAACATCCCATGTTTATGGATCAAAAGACTCAATTTCATTAAAATGGCTACAATTCCCAAAGCAATCTATAGATTCAATACCATTTCTATCAAACAACCAACATAATTTTTCAAAGGATTAGAAAAAACTATTCTAAAATTCACATGGAAACAAAAAAAGGAGTCCAAAAAGCCAAAGCATTTGGGCTTGGTTCAAAGACTTGGAACCAACCCAAATGTCCAACAATGATCAACTGGATTAAGAAAATGTGGCACATATACACCATGGAATACTATGCAGCCATAAAAAATGATGGGTTCATGTCCTTTGTAGGGACATGGATGAAATTGGAAATCATCATTCTCAGTAAACTATCGCAAGGACAAAAAACCAAACACTGCATGTTCTCACTCATAGGTGGGAATTGAACAATGAGAACACATGGACACAGGAAGGGGAACATCACACTCTGGGGACTGTTGTGGGGTGGGGGGAGGGGGGAGGGATAGCATTAGGAGATATACCTAATGCTAAATGACGAGTTAATGGGTACAGCACACCAGCATGGCACATGTATACATATGTAACTAACCTGCACATTGTGCACATGTACCCTAAAACTTAAAGTATAATAATAATAAAATAAAATTAAAAAGCCAAAGCAATCCTAAGCCAAAAGAACAAAGCCAGAGGCATCGCATTAACCAACTTCAAACTACACCATGAGGCTATAGTAACCAAAATAGCTTGTTCTTGTTACAAAAAACTGACACGTAGACTAAGGGAATGGAATAGAGAACCCAGAAATAAAGCCATACCTACAACTATCTGATCTTCAACAAAGTCGACAATAACAAACAGTGGGGAAAGGACTACCTCTTAAATAAATGGTGCTGGGATAACTGGCTAGCCATATGCAGAAAAATGAAACTGGATCCCCCACCCCCACCTTTCACCATATACAAAAATTAACTCAAGTTGGATTAAAGACTTAAACGTAAGACCTAAAACTATAAAAATTCTAGAAGAAAATCTAGGAAATATCATTCTAGATATCAGCCTTGGCAAAGAATCCATGACTAAGTCCCCAAAAGCAACTGCAACAAAAAAAAATTGACAAATGGGACCTAATTAAACAGAGTAAACAGACAGAATGGGAGAAAATATTCACAAACTATGTATACAGCAAAGGTCTTATATCCAAAATCTGTAAGTTTCAACAAGCAAAACTCAAATAGTTCTATTAAAAAATGGGAAAAGCACATGAAGAGACACTTCTCAAAAGACAACATACATGTGGCCAACAATTATATGAAAGAATGCTCAACATGATTAATCACTCAAAACCACAATGAGGTAACATCACATTCCAGTCAGAATGGCTATTAAAAAGTCCAAAAACAACAGATGCTGGTAAGACTATGGAGAAAAAGGAACACTTACACACTGTTGGCGAGAATGTGAATTAGTTCAGCCACTGTGGAAAGCAGTTTGGAGACGTCTCAAAGAACTTAAAAGAGAACTTCCATTTGACCCAGCAATCCCATGAGTGAGTACAACCCCCCCCCACCCCGCCAAAAAAAATCTTCCTATCAAAAATAAATCATTCCATCAAAGGAAAATAAATCATTCTATCACAAAGACACATGAACTCACATGTTCATTGCAGCACTATTCACAATAGCAACCTAGGTGCCATCAATGATGAACTGAGTAAAGAAAATGTGGTACATATATACCATGGAATACTAAACAGCCATAAGAAAGAATGAACTCATGTCCTTTGCAGCAACATGGATGCAGACACAGGCCACAATCCTAAGAAAACTAATGCAGGAACAGAAAACCAAATACCATGTGTCCTTACTTATAAGTAAGAGCTAAATATTGGGTACACACAGACATAAAAACGGGAACAATAGACACTAGGGACTACTAGAGCGGGGAGGGAAGAAGGGGGCAGGTGCTGAAAAACTACCTATTGGGTACTATGCTCACTACGTGGGTGATGGGATCATTTGTATACCATGCCTCAGAGACACACAGTTTACCCATGTAACAAGCCTACACATGTGCCCCTGAACCCAAAAAAAGTTGAAAAAAATAATAAAAATAATAAAGATTACCATAGCTGGAAAATGTGTACTTCATGAAACTCTTAGGGCTTTGTTAAAGTATTTTTTGCCTTTTGAATGTTTGAAATGTGCCTTAACAAAATTCAAAACTAAAACTTTAAAAAATTGAACTAACAGGACTGGGCACAGTTGGCTCATGCCTATAATCCCAGTGTTTTGGGAGGCTGAGGCAGGAGGATTGCTTGAGGCCAGTAGTTCAAGACCAGCTTGGGCAATACAGCAAAACTCTGTCTCTATGAAAAAAAACAAAAATTAGCCAGACATGGTGGTTCACACCTGTAGTTCTAACTACTTGAAAGGTTGAGGCAGAAGGATTGCTTGAGCTCAGGAGTTCAAGGCTGCGGTGAGCTATGATTGTGCCACTGCACTCTAGCCTGGGTGACAGAGCAAGACTCTAGCCCTTTAAAAAAAAAAAAGAAGAAGAAAAAACCTTTATTTAAAAAAAAGAAGAACAGAAACTAAGGGCCTGTTCACCATAGAATATTATGCAGCCATAAAAAAGAATGAAATCTTGTATTTTCAGTTACATGGATGCAACTGGAGGTCATTCTCCTGAGCAAATTAACACAAGAAAAGAAACCCAAATACTGCATATTCTCACTTATAAATGGCAGCTAAACTTTGAGTACACATGGATACAAAGATGAGAACAACAGACACTGGGAACTACTAGAGGGGGGAGGGTGGGATGGGGCTCACCTATCACTCTACTGATTCATAGCTGTGTAATTTAAGTCTCTAAGCCTAAGTTTCCTTATGTGTAAAATGAGAATGATAATAATATATACATATTTCATAGAATTGTGAAAATTCAAACATATATAAACAAAACAGAAAAATAGATGTAAGTAAAAATAGTAATAACTACAGTTTCTGCTTCTTACCTTACAAGTACCTAGACATGGTACCTGGAATATATTAATCATAAGCTATAATTGTTTTTTTATTACAGTGTGTATTTGGAGTGGTCAATGTGTCTGAGGTGGTAAGTCTGTACTGAGATGCTGACTTCTCAGTGTATATAAAGCAAAACGGAATGCCAGTCCTTAAAGTTGGTCAGGAAACCAGGAATAGACAGTGAATGTGGAGTGGTCAGGCCATCCAAGCCCCAGGGGGCCTAGGGTGGGCAGTCAGCAGAGGCTGGTGAGGTTGGTGCTGAGCTTTCATACTTCTCCAAAAGCAAGACCAGGGTGAAATCTTGCTTCTCCAGGGAGAGTGGACCCTAAGGCCTTTATAGCCTGGATGGAGGCAGGTGGTTATTGCTGGCTACTAATGTGCAGATTTATTCTCTTTTTCTAGAGACTAGTCCCTAAATGAAGCCCCCAGTGTAGATCCCAGGTGGGCTAGAATGTAGGGCTCTTCCTTTTCTTTTCTTTTCTTCCCCTTCCTTACCCTCCTAGTTCTTCATTCCCATAAAGTTGCCCTCTCCAATTTCCGGGCCTTTTCACAGTGAAGTTCTCAAAAGGTAGCACAGCTGGCAGGTCTCCAGCAGGTGCAGACTCTGGAGAAGCACTGTTCAATGGAACTTTCCATGATGATGAAAATGTTCCATACCTATGCTGTCCAGCAGATTAACCACTAGCCACAGGTGCCTACTGAGCACTTGAAATGTGGTTAGTGTGTCTGAAGAACTGATTTTTTAATTTTAATGAATTTTAATACTATATGAAGCTAGTGGCTAATATATTAGATAGCACAGCTTTAGAGACAGATACTCTGCGTTCAAGTCCAAGCTCTGCATTTTCTTGGCACCATGAAATTGGGAAAGTATCTTTAATTCTCCGAGCCTCAGTCTCTCATTATACATGTGGGTTATATTATTACTGACCTCATAGTGCTATAAGATTAAATAAACTCTTAAACGAAAGCACCTAGAATCAGATACAAGCTACCCTAATATTTCAATAATGGTAGTTATATGCTTCAACACGCATTAGTTTTTCCCTGTGTTTCAGCTGGGCTTGCTCTTCTCAGTGTATTGACTGGTTGAAGTAATCAAACCAAAAATTATGTCCAGCTGACCCTTTGGTAAACATACAGAAAACATCAACCAGTAATCCTGATGGAAATTTAATAAAAGACATTTTCAACTGTACCTTGAGGAAATAAACCAACAATCATGCCTAACTGAGCCATGTAGAAATATAACTAAGCCTTTTTAAAAAAAAAAAAATCAAAAGATATCTTATTCTAAGGGTGTCTGAAAGGCTGAGTCACAAGAAAATTTCTTAAAGCAATGATATATTTTGTTTGATTATGGAACTGTTGGGCCTTGTCTGAACTATCTAAGATATTTAATAAATAAAGGATAACTGACAATAAAGCATCAAAGGGGTAAATCAATTTAATAATTTTCAGTTGAATAACTGCTCTGTGTCTAACTCTGTGCTAAGTGAAATGGGATCCCAAAAAAGAAGATGACATTGCCTCTGTTTTTGAAAATTTTGCAGTGTCTTTAGAGATGCAATTTTTTCTAATACAAATGGCAGATGTACAAGATAGGATAAATACTATAGGTGTTTGGAAAGAGCAGAGCTCAATAGTGGCTAAAATGGTCAAGGGGTTGTTTTGTGGACAGAAGTGTGCACTTGGTCATAAAGCCTAAAAACAGACAGTGCTTATCATCTAGGTCTGAAGAGATTAGAATAGAAATAATCATTTCTGAAAGCATGTTCATGTGGCAAGCATTGTTTAAATTGTGTAGGCACGTATGTGAGTTTCCTTTGGGTTCAATTCAGCTAACAAGTATTCACTGAGCATCTAGTGGGTGCCTGGCAAAAACACATCATAGGCAGCTTGTGGCTTGCTCAGAATTGTACAGTTGAAAACTGCACGAGGGGTGGGGAATCTATATTATGTAATGGCAACTTTGTAACCACATATTCATAAATCAGAATGTCCCAGTACATGAAGAAGTAAACATATGGTTATCATGACAACAATTGTTACAGAAATATGACTGTCCAGTTATCTAGTGGTGTCCACGTTAAATCTTTACTTCATTATTGTGTGCTTAATGTTTCTGGTTTCAATACCCTTCATTACTTCTTTTAAAAGAACATCTTTTAACAAATATTCTCACTTAGTAGACCAAAATCTTATTACTTTTAAAACAGTTACAAGTACAGGTCTATCAAGCCTTCCATATCTCATATTCTAAGCAACAACTTTGATCTCCAGCCCTGCCCCAGGCCTACTGAATGAAAATTGCTAGATCTGCTTTTAACTAATTTCCAGGTGATAGATACACACATGAAAAGTTAAGAAGCACTTCTCTAAGGAATATTAGATATTATTGAACTAATTCAAAAACACAGTGCCAGTTAACTCAGCCCTACACCCTTTAGTTTCATTCACAGCTAGTTACATGTAAATTGGTCTTGTGAAATAGACAGGAGTAGTGCTTTCAAGGTGAAATGACAAAGGATTCCTAACAGGTACTGACATTCTCTCTTCCTCAGATAAATATTGAACATGAATTTTTAAGATGCCAATTTAAAAAGCTGACAAATTGCTTTCTTACCTAGGTCACCTACATGACTCTCTATAGTCATCTTTCTCATCAACTGTTTCTTTTTAAAAATTAAAGTCTGAGAAGTAAATGCAACCTAATTAGTGTAATAAACGATGAATTAGATCATGATGAAAGGAGAATTGGAAAGAGTAAGGAAGAAAGAAATATCAAGGAGGTTGAGAGAAATGGAGGAAGCCAGCTGTTTCTTAGAATCCCTGCTTCCTTAACTTCTCGGAGTACTCCTGTCAGACAATCTGTCTCCCACACCCACCCTGAGCAAGTCCTCCACGCTTTAGGATGATGGAGCAGAGCTTGAAACATGACCCTATGCAAGGGACACTCATTTATGAGACACTTTCTAGAGCAAATGAAATTAAGTCCATTATTACATAACTGGAGGCATACATCCTCTAATTGATGTTAAAGTTTTACTTTTTTTAAAAAATGGAATAGAAGTGCATCTTTTAGCATGGGATGATTGATTTAAAAACAATCAAAAAAGGATCTAGTTTATAGCTGTTGCGTTTTTGTAGTTATTAGCCACCAACCAACAACTCCTTATGAAAAACAAGGGAGGAAATCATTGCTTGAGCATGGTTTCCTGCTCTTGTGTAAAATCAAATGTATGAAAATTTAAATCCAATATCATTGGCTGACTCAACCAATCACAATGATGAAGCCTGGGAGTTTTATATAAATAAACTAAATATAATCATATAAACATGGGAAAGAAAGTATAAAAAGGGCACAAATAATTGCAGTGTGCTGATAAATGTTTAACAACTGGCTTTCTGGTGGAGGGAACCCTAACTGTAGCATTTGCTGATTTCCATGACATAAATGCTCCAAACGTGCTGTGTTTCAAGCTGTCAGTGTTGTGTCACTGAGCGCAGAATTTGGAAGAGATGAAAACAATTGGTCTCTGGTTCCCATGAAAGTCACACTAGCACACCCTCACAAATAACTAAAGGTACAGATTTTTCTACTCATCAATAACTCAGCAACATTTGATATTTGATCTAGATACGTATTTATTTATATTATGAAAAGTTTAGTTGTTCTGTTAATTTTTAAAAAAAAAAAAAAAAACAAAAACAAGAAAACGGAGACTCTCTCTGTCTCCCTGGCTGGAGTGCAATGGCGTGATCTCAGCTCACTGCAACCTCCGCCTCCTGGGTTCAAGCAATTCCCCTGCCTCAGCCTCCCAAGTAGCTGGGATTACAGGTGCATGCCACCACGTCCAGCAGCTAATTTTTTGTATTTTTAGTAGAGATGAGGTTTCACCATGTTACCCAAGATGGCCTCAATCTCCTGACCTCGTGATACACCCGCCTAGGCCTTCCAATCTACCATTAATCTTAATCACAGGTGGCAGGGCCAAAATTTAAACTTCAGAAGAATAAGCATATGAATTTTAAAGTCTGGATTTCCTTTTTCATTTTCACCATGTCAGAAAAAGCCTTCAAAGTCTTGCACTTTTATAATATCCACCTGCATGTCAATCATTCTCATGCTTATGTTTTTAATACCTGTTAAAGATGGGGATCTATTCTCTGCGGCTTAGGTTTTGCTTTCTTGGATATCTTCCCCTGAGTTTCTGTCACTACATTGGATGTAATCATGAATTCTAAGGAGAGATATGAAGCAATGGCCATGAATATGTATGCTTTGAGTTACTTCGTCATAATTTTTGGCAGCAATATTCTTCAAGATTGGCATATAAAGTTGAAGTGGTGCTTCAAAAATAATTTTAAGCTAGATATTTATAGCATGTACAAAGCAAGCTTACAGTTATTTGTCACAGATATTTTAATCACATAATAGAAAATAATATTACTGATGAGTAAAGTTTAAAACACATGAAATCAAAAATCCCTACTGCTATACATTGTGTTCAACTAACAAGACAAACTCTAGTAAGCATTTATTGTAATATATGTAAATATGAGATTTCTCATTCAAAGGAGTGTCTTGTTAGCATTTACTTATGCCGTATTTCTCAATCTTTCAAAGAAATATTAATGATAATATATTTTAAAAACACAATTCACAAAGCCAGTAGAAATTAAGGCTGTCACACCGCCTAATGCCAAAATCTGGGAGAAACTAATTAATAACTAAGAAAGATAACATGAATTTAGAAAATTGACCAAAGCATCAGCTCATGGCATTAACCATCTTTGTTTTGTGGAAATAAAAGAACCATGAAAAATAAGGTAGGAAAAATCTACTATAATCCTTGCAACATAAAGTGTTTCTTAAACCCACATACAGGAGCTGCTCCCAGGAATCATCATTGTATAACTCTTAGAACTTTAGTGGAACATGAAGACCTCTGAACTCATGAAACCACTTTTTCCCATCTCCATAGGCATTCCTCTACATCCTCTTAGAGTCTGTAAATCCTAGAAAAATAACTGGGCAGGAAATGGAAGTAGAGGTTTAAGAGGGGCACAATTACAAATGGCATGGGGCATCTTAGCAAATTTATTCACAGTTTTTAATATCCTAGAAAATTAGGCAATGACGGAGAAGCCGCCCTCACTGGGGACATGGCTGCTAAGAAATGGGAATTTAAGACCTGTGTACATGAATCTTCCTTCTTCCAACAAGAAATCTAAGAAAGAGATTTGATCTCTGTGCAAATAGGAAGAAGTACATAGGCCAAATTAATCACCCTATTTGTTGATAAACACTAAGTCTATGTGATAGTTATTTTTTTGTGTTAACTTGACTGGACTAAAAGATGCCCAGATAGATGGCAAAACATTATTTCTGAGTGTGTTAGAATCGACAGGCTGAGTAAAAAAGATCCGTCCTTGCCAATGCAGGTGGGCATCATCCAATTCATTGAGGGCCTGAGCAGAACAAAAAGGCAAAAGAAAGATGAATTTGCTCTTTCTGCTTGAGCTGGCACATGCATCTTCTTCTGCCCTCAGACATTGGCTCTCCTAGTTCTCAGGCCTTCAGGCTTGCACTAGAATTACACCACCAGCTTTGTTGGGCCTCTAGCTTGCAGAGAGCAGATTGTGACAGATCGTGGGACTCCTCAGCCTTCATAATCATGTGAGCCAACACCTCATAATAAATCTCATATACATATATATGGTATATGATATATATAGCTATAGCTATAGATAGATATCTCTTATTTGTTCTGCTTCTCTGGGGAATCCTGACTAATGCAGTCTATATAGATGTTACCTTTACCAAGGATGAGTAAAAAAGAAATGTAAATATGGAACAAAACAAAATATAAAACTGCATAATAGGAAAAGGCAATATCCTGGAGACTCAGAGAAAAGCATACCTTTACAATACTGTCAATTGCAAGGTCTAAAAAAATTCCAGGAAATACCAGTAAAGTGTAAAATATATGTTATATATTTTAAAAAGCAACAAGTTCTTTTAAAAGCTGAGATGAGATGAAAGGGGGAAATGGATGAGATAACAAGGAATTGAAAAAACACAATAGCAGAATTTAAGACCACATTGAGAGGGTAAAGAACAAAATCGATGCTGCAGAAAATGGAAGAAGTTATGTCATTTAAAAACTTGAAAAGCCTTCTTAGAATGCTGGATTAGTCTGTTCTCACACTGCTATGAAGAAATATGCAAATTGGGCAATTTAGAAAGAAAGGAGGTTTAATTGACTCAAAGTTCTATAGGGCTGGGGAGGCCTCAGGAAACTTACAATAATGGTGGAAAGCACCTCCTCACAGAGTGGCAGGAGAGAGAATGAGTACTGAGTGAAGGGATAAGGCCCTTATAAAACCATCAGATCTCGAGAGAACTCACTCTGTATCACAAGGACAGCATGGGGGAAACTGCCCCCATGATTCAATTATCTCACCTGGTCCTGCCCTTGACATGTGGGGATTATTACAATTCAAGGTGAGATTTGGGTGGGGACACAGAGCCAAACTATACCATTCCACCCCGGCCCCTCCCAATGTCCTCACATTTCAAAACACAATCATGCACTTCCAACAGTCCCCAAAGTCTTAACTCATTGTAGCATTAACTCAAAAGTCCAAGTCCAAAGTCTTATCTGAGATAAGGCAATGCAATGGGGATACAGGTATTGGATGAATACACCCATTCTGAATGGGAGAAATTGGCCAAAACAAAGGGGCTACAGGCCACATGCAAGTCCAAAATCCAATAGGGCAGTCATTAAACCTTAAAGTTCCAAAATGATCTCCTTTGACTCCATGTCTTACATCCAGAGCATGCTGATGCAAGAGGTGGACTCCCATGGCCTTGGGCAGCTCCACCCCTGTGGCTTTGCAGGGCACAGCCTCCCTCCTGGCTGCTTTCATGGGCTGGCATTGAGTGTCTGCAGCTTTGCCAGGCACACAGTGCAAGCTGTTGCCGAATCTACCATTCCAGGGTTTGGAGGACGGTAGCCCTCTTCTCACAGCTCCACCAGGAAGTGCCCCAGTGGGGACTCTGTGAGGGGGCTCCAGCCCCACATTTCCCTTCCACACTGCCTAGCAGAGGTTCTCCATGAGACAGCCACCCCTGCGGCAGACTTCTGCCTGGACAACCAGGTGTTTCCATATATCCTCTGAAATCTAGACAGAGGTTCCCAAACCTCAATTCTCATCTTCTGTGTACTTACAGGCTCAACACCATATGGAAGCCACCAAGGCTTGGGGCTTGTACCCTCTGAAGCAATGGCCTGAGCTGTACCTTGGCCCCTTTTAGCCATGGCTGGAGCTGAAGCAGCTGGAACTCAGGGCACCATGTCCTAAAGTTGCACAGACAGGGGGAGCCCTGGGCCCAGCCCAAGAAACCATTTTTCCCTCCTAAGCCTTTGGACCTATGATGGGAGGGACAGCCTTGAAGTTGTCTGACATGCCCTAGAGACATTTTCTCCATTGTCTTGGTGATTAATATTTGGCTCCTCATTACTTATGCAGATTTCTGCAGTGGGCTTGAATTCCTCCCCAGAAAATGGGTTTTTCTTTTTTACTGCATTGTCAGGCTGCAAATTTTCCAAACTTTTATGCTCTGCTTCCTCTTGAACAATTTGCTGCTTAAAAACTTCTTCCACCAGATACCCTAGATCATCTCTCTCAAGTTCAAAGTTGCACAGATCTCTAGGACAGGGGCAAAATACCACCAATCTCTTTGCTTAAGCATATCAAGAAGCACCTTTATTCCAGGTCCCAACAAGTTCCTCATCTCCCTCTGAAACCACCCCAGCCTGGACTTAATTGTCCATATCACGATCAGCATTTTGGTCAAAGCCATTCAACAAGTTTCTAGGAAGTTCCAAACTTTCCCACATCTTCCTGTATTCTTCTGAGCTCTCCAAACTGTTCCAACCTTTGCCTGTTACCCAGTTCCAAAGTCACTTCCACATTTTTGGGTATCCTTATAGTAGCACCCCACTCTCCCAGAATCAATTTACTGTGTTAGTCCATTCTCATGCTGCTATGAAATAATACCCAATACTGGGTAATTTATAAAGAAAAGAGGTTTAACTGACTCACAGTTCCACATGGCTGGGGAGGCCTCAGGAAACTTACAATCATGGTGGAAGGCACCTCTTCACAGGGTATCAGGAGAAAGAATAAGTGCCCAGGGAAGGGGGAAGCCCCTTATAAAACCATGAGATCTCATGAGATCTTACTCACTATCATGAGGACAGCATGGGGGAAACTGCCCGCATGATTCAATTATCTCCGCTTGGTCCCACCCTTGACATGTGGGGATTATTACAATTCAAGATGAGATTTGGGTGGGGACACAGAGCCAAACCATGTCTAATGTGGGGACTAAAAATAACCACATATAACTAATGAAAGATACCATTATAGATACGGAAGAAAGAAAACAGAGAACAAATATTCCAATTTTTAGTGATGTTTAGTGATATTAAAGGAGAGACCAGAGCAAATTGAACATTATGAAGAAATCAGAATAAATTTTAAAAGAAAAAATGATCAAAGCTATAGTTTAACAAAATCCTTGAGCTTAGGAAAAATAAGTGCATACATTTCTTAAAGGGTTCCATACGTCTAAGAAAAACCTGCTAAAGATACACAACCACTACCTATTTGGATGTCTTTTATTTCTTTTGCCTGATTGCTCTGGCCAGGGCTTCTAGTACTATATTGAATAGCAGGGTGAGAGAGGGCATCCAAATCTTGTTCTGGTTTTCAAGGGGAATGCTTCTGCCTTTTGCCCATTCAATATGATGTTGGCTGTGGGTTTGTCATAGATAGCTATTATTTTGAGGTATGTTCCTTCAATGCCTAGTTTATTGGGAAGTTTTTTTAACATGAAGGAATCTTGAATTTATCAAAAGCCTTTTCTGCATCTATTGAGAAAATCATGTGGGTTTTGTCTTTTGTTCTGTGTATGTGATGAATCACATTTATTGATTTACATATGTTCAACCAACCTTGCATCCCAGGGATAAAGCCTACTTGATCGTGGTGGATTAGCTTTTTGATATGCTGCTGGATTCAGTTTGCTAGTATTTCGTTGAGGATTTTTGCATTGATGTTCATGAAGGATATTGGCCTGAAGTTTTCTTTTTTTGTTGTGTCTCTGCCAGGTTTTGGTAGCAGATGATGCTGGCATCATAGAATGAGTTGGGGATGAGTCCCTCCTCCTCAATTTTTTCAAATACCTTACATGCGGCCAAGAAGCATTAAAAAATGCTCAATATCACCAATCGTTAGATAAATGCAAATCAAAACCACAATGAGATGTCATCTCACACCAGTCAAAATGGCTGTTACTAAAAAATCAAGAAATAACAGATACTGGCAAGGTACAGAGAAAAGGGAACACTTACACACTGCTGGTGAAAGTGTAAATTAGTTCAACCATTGTGGAAAGAAGTGTGGCAATTCCTCAATGAACTAAAAACAGAACTACCATTTGACCCAGCAATTCTACTACTGGGCAAATATCCAAAGGAATATAAATCATTCTACCATAAAGTCACATTCACATGTACGTTCACTGCAGCACTATTCAATATAGTGCTGCAATACAATAGCAAAAACATGGAATCAACCTAAAAGCCCATCAACAGTAGACTGGATAAAGAAAATATGGTACATACATACCATGGGATACCATGCAGCCATAAAAAATAACAATATCTTGTTCTTTGCAGGAACATGGACAGAACTGGTGGCCATTATTCCTAGCAAACTAGTGCAGGAACATAAAACCAAGTACTCTATGTTCTCATTTATAAGTAGGAGCTAAGTGATGAGAACAAATGGACACATAGTTGGAAACAACAGACACTGGGGGACTATTGAGAAAGGAGGACGGGAAAAGGGAGAGGTTCAGGGAAAAAAAAAAAAAAAACCTGTCAGCCAGGCACGATGGCTCACGCCTGTAATCTCAGCACTTTGGGAGCCCGAGGTGGGTGGATCACCTGAGGTCAGGAGTTCGAGACCAGGCTGGCCAATATGGTGAAACCTCGTGTCTACTAAAAATACAAAAAAAAAAAAAAAAAAAAAACAGCTGGGTGTGGTGGCACGTGCCTGTAATCCCAGCTACTCAGGAGTCTGAGGCAGGAGAATTGCTTGAACCAGAGAGGTGGAGGTTGCATTGAGCCGAGGTCGTGCCATTGCACTCCAGCCTGGGCAATGGAGCAAGACTCTTGTCTCAAAAAACAAACAAACGAAAAACTGTCAGGTACTATACTTAGTACCTGGGTAATGAAACAATCTGTACACAAAACACCCAAGTCATGAATTGACCTATATAACAAACCTGCACATGTACCACCAAACCTAAAAGTTAAAATATTTTAAAAATAAAAGAAACACAACCTCTTGGCAAACCTGACAAAATTTTGAACAATCAAAATAAACGAATTTTTTGAAATCTTGTAAACATCTGGACAAGATTACTGATACCTGAATAAACTTACCTCTAAAGAATTGTCTTCCAGTGGGTTCCCCCAAAGAAGATTCTGAGACAAGAGTTTGCTGATCCCAGGAGGAACCTGTAGAGGAGTGGGTACATGAAATAAGGAAGAGTCAGTAATGATTAAAGTCACCTTTATTGAGATTGTTACAGCTGTAGGCAACTGAAGCTCAACTGTAATGGAGAAATCTAGGAATATAAAGCATTATCCCACTTAAGGGGTGAGGAAGCTGAGATATTTATCCTGAACTACTATCCATCTCTGGCTAAAAGGTGACGAAGGGATCTTAAATCCTGTTACTTCAGGCCAGCCCATGTGCTGACAGAAGTTCTCAGCACAAAGTCAGATGCTTGTAGTAGGACACTGTTGCCACATGCTAAAAAGGTGAATATTTAGGTTATGTGGGAGAGTACTGAAAGCATCTATGTACAATGATCAAGAACCTAGCTAACCAAGGCTTCCTTTGTACACCACAACAAAAAATGCTAGAAGGCGGTGAATTAATGTCAGCAAAATTTCTAGAAGAAAAGAATATGTATCAATAACTTGATATCCAACCAACTCTTTTATAGGCAAATACAACAGCCAGACATCTACATATGCAAGACCTCAAAAACTGTATGGCCCATGCACCATACCTTTTAAAAAATAGTTGAACATTTCCATGCAAAAATAACATTTAATCATACTTATTTAACTCTCTTCCCTCCCAAATTCCCTTTGAAATTTCAAAGCAAGAAAAAAATGTTCATCCTCAGCATAACCCAGAAAATAACTTCATCCATCATCCAGAAGCTTCAAGGTATAGCAATTTCTACAAGGTATAAGAAAAATAAGATCTGGCTGAAAAATTTACTGAGCATCCCAAGGTTCAGTGCATGCATATTTAAAGTAATTATTAAGAAGAGATCTAATGTGGGGCAGCTTCCCAAGTGACTCCCAGTGATCTCTGCCTTTGGTATTCATACTTTTGTGTAATTCCTTCCCAATGTACACGCATGTGTGCTGAACCTAGTGACTTGCTTCTAATAGAATACAGCAAGAATGATGGCATATCGTGTTTTAGATTAGGTTATAAAAGACTGTGACTTCCCTTTCGATAGTCCTCTCTCTCCTGCTGGTGCTCCTTCTTGCCTGCTACCTTGCTCACTCTGCCATGTTGTGAGATGCTCTGTGGAGGGACCCATGTGGCAAAGAACTAAGTGTAACCTCTGACCAGCAGCCAGTGAGAAACTGAGGCCTTCCAACAACCACATGAATGAGCTTGGAAGTGGGCGCTTCCCCAGGTGGACCTTGAGATGAAACTACAACCCCAGCCTATACCTTGACTGCAGCCTATGAGAGACCCTAAAAAAAAAAGTCCCAATTAAGATGCCCAGATTCTTAGCACTCAAACTGAGATACTGTCTTAAGCCAAGTTTAGAATAATTTTTTACAAAGCAAATAGTAAACCCAGAAATCTCTCCTAACATGGAATTTCAGGACTTGGCAAGAACGCTGGGTCATCAGGATGCAGTGGATACATTGAACAAATTTAAGTTCTGCATCAGTACCCATGCTAACCTTCCTTGTGAAGCAGTGCTGTTCTCAATGGTGGAAGCGTTACTACAATGAGCTCTCAAACACTGTGGGCATGCCTGTTAGAGGTCAGCTTCAGACCCTCAGCCATCTCTCTGTTGCTGCCTGTAGTATACCCAGGGCAGGGCAGTGGGAGTGCTCATATTTAGTGTGAAAGCAATAAGTGGGTGCATATTCTGGGGAAATTTTAAATACTATAAATAAAGCCAACTAAAAGTCTGATTTCTGTTATCGCCATGTACTGGCAATTCTAAACAATGTCAAGGCAACTCCTCCCCATCAGGCCAGACAGCCTTTACCGCCTCCCCTTTGGTACATCACTGACTGCTATGACAAAGATTTTACAAATGGTTGGCAGAGCTAGACTCCCTGCTGTGCATAGCCTTCTTGATAACTCCATCTGTACTTTTTATGGAAAATTGGATCCTTACCCAACAGATGCCCCCACAGATCAGAGTAGCAAGAAAGAGTAGGAGGAACAGCAAAGGCAATGGCAGGCTCAGGATCAAAGCAAATGAGACTCTTATGATTGACTTCCAGGAGTGCACCAGTGCGGCAAGTACAGAGTGACCACCCATGCTCACCTGTCAGGGGCAGTGTGCATTCTCATTTATTCAACAAATATTTATTGAGTGCTCAACTTGAGCCAGATACTGTTCTTGGAACAGGGAATCAGTAATGAACAGACACAAATAATTGCCTTTGTGAAGCTCATATTCTAGTGGAAATAGACTGGCATAAATAAATTAACAAGTAAAATATATATCAGATGCTGATAAATGCTATGGGGAAAAATGAAGCAGGGAATGGGGGAATGGAAACGTGCCAAGATGGTTTCTGTCATTTTAAGTAAGGTGCTCGGGGAAGATTTCAGGAAGTAGGGGACGTTTGAACAAAGTCGAGAGAAGGGAGACAGTCACGTGAGTATCTAGAAAAAACAATCCAGGTAGAAGGATAATTGAATCAAAAACCCTTACAGGGTAGTATCCTCATTACTGTTATCTCACCATCAACGAGGTTGAGAGGAGGGCTGGAGTGGTGTGAATACGCAGAGAGTAGTAGTAGATTGGATGGAGGGGTGGACAATGACTTTTTTTCTCTTCCTCTCCCAAATCTTCTATGAATTCCTGTCATCTGTGGCATCTGCAGTAGGAGCCTGCTGACAAAGGATTCTGGAAAATAAAGTGTGCAGGCTTCCTGCCTCTAGGACACTGAGGAGAGAACTCAGGTGGGCAGAAAAAGTGCAAGATACCAACAGGCAATTCAGCACCTCCACTGTCCCCAAACTTTCCTTCCAGGATCTGAAAATAATACCGTCAAAAATACCTTCTAAGACCTTACAACACTGACACAACCTGAAAGCATGAAAGAAACACTTGCCTTCCAGAAGACCGGATTTCTAGTTCAATTCTACTGCTTGACCTTGAATAGGCAGGCCCTTTAAGCTCTCTGAATCTGTTTCCTAACCTGTCAAATGGAGATAACCATATCTATATCTCAGAGTCAAGGAGGTCTCATGATTCAGTGCATGTGAAGGACTCGTCCCAGTATCTGGTAGGCTCTAAATAAACAGTAAATATGATTATAGATGTAAAATAAAAGGATCTGTGGGTTCTACCTCTGGCTCCACCTCCCACTAGTGAAATGACCAAGCAGTTGTTTTCACTTTTCCAATCACTGATTTCCTCATCTCTAAAATGAGAATTCCATGTGTGACTTGAAGAATAAAAATTTTGACTCCAAAAATTAAATAAGTAAAATACAATAACAAGACCTAAAGCCCTGTTGTTTTAAGGATTAAATGATATAATATACAGAGGTGATACATAAGCTGGCACATAGTTAGGTTGTCAATTAATGCTAATTATTATAATTATCTAAAAAAATCAGGGGATTGGATTTCTTCAAATTTCCTTCCCATCCTCACAGTCCTTGGTATTTATCATCAGTGGTTCTACAAGGTGGGACTTTTGTAAGTTACCTCTTCAAGAACTTGTGGGATTTACAAATTTTAATTTCCACTTAAGTAAATTCTACCTGACACACTGTCGCCAGAACATAAGAAAAGTAGAAATACATGCCTGTCCAATCAAATGTATGTCCACCGTCCAGATTCCTGAGCAGGAGCTGAAGTCAAGAGGCAGGAGTTACCACAGGAGGAGACCTTTCATAGATCATTTAGACAAACTCACTCCATTACTTTCTCATTTATCCACCATTTGGCCTCCTGGTCCCACCTGAAAGGGCAACTGCAGGCGGCTGTCCCATTTTCTGAGGCTTTTTCAGCAGAGTAAACCCAGCATGTAGGACTTGGCTGTCACCAAGCAATGTGAGGCCAAAGTCAGTGACAATCAGGAAAGGGGAGAGGAGAGCAGGCAGCAGCCATTCAATCATCAACCACCCTGCTTCCCAGAGTCCCAGACACAGCCCTGGGAGGAGTGAGAACACACACAGCAGACCATTCTCTCACTTCAACCCATCAGGGCAATTTCCTGAATGCAGCCAAAAGCGATGCTGAAAGAAAAACTGTTGAAGGAGCAAGGGAGACAATGAATGAGAAGATCCAGATATGAGTACCCTGAACTCTTGGCCAGAATGGAGAGTCACTGTTTAAAGGCCATATCAATGCACAGCTAACACAGGAATGTGAAACAATTCTTCACATGACCCTTTACTGTGACAGTGAGGAAACAAGCTGCAGGTGTACTCCATCTGAACACGTTCTCAACAGCCACTAAGTAGATAAGCTACACGTAAATTATGCTCTTTCTACTCTTCCATTAACCACTCTGTATTAGTCGGGGTTCTCTAGGGTATATGGATATACGTATATCTGAAAGGGAGTTTATTAAGGAGAATTGACTCACATGATCACAAGGTAAAGTCCCATAGTAGGCTGTCTGCAAGTTGAGAAGCAAGGAAGCCACTAGTGGATCAGTCCAAGTCCCAAAACCTCAAAAGTAGGGAAGCTGACAGTGCAGCCTTCAGTCTGTGGCTGGAGGCCCAAGAGCCCCTGGCAAATCACTAGTGTAAGTCCAAGAGTCCAAAAGTCAAAGAACTTGGAGTCCAATATTTGAAGGCAGAAAACATCCGGCATGGGAGAAAGATGAAGGCTGGAAGACTCAGCAAGTCTGTTCCTCCCACCTTTTCCTGCCTGCTGGCAGCTGATTAGATGGTGCCCACCCACATTGAAGGTGGGTGTGCCTATCCCAGTCCACAGACTCAAATGTTAATTTCCTTTGGTAACACCCTCACAGACACACCCAGGAACAATCCTTTGCATCCTTCAATCCAATCAAGTTGATACTTAATATTAACCATCACACACTCCAATTTTTCTTAGAGGAAGAACCAGGCATGTGGCTAACAACTTCTCCACTCGTCCCTCCAGAACTAACATTCACTTAATTATTAATTTATTCATCCATCCAACTGCCATGCTGGACCCCTATCAACTTCATTAGGTATGGCACCAGGTTCAAGACGCTGAAGAACAGACCTGACACCAGCAAACTAAAACATAGGTTTATTTAGGGGAACTTACAGGGTGGTCCAGTGGTAGTGGGTGTGGCCACTTGTAAGAAACATGCTGTTTATATAGCACTTTCATTTATCACCCTCCACCCCATCAACCTCCATATGGCAACCCTAGTTTATTTATTTGTTTTTTGTTTTTTTGGTGTGGGTTTTTTAAATTTTGTTTTGTTTTGTTTTTCTGAGATAGGGTCTTGCTCTGTCACCCAGGCTAGAGTGCAGTGATGCAATCATAGCTCACTGCAGCCTCAACCTCATGGGCTCAAGTGATCCTCCCACCTTAGCCTCCTGAGTAGCTGGAACCACAGGCATGAACTACCATGTCCAGTTTTTTGTTTTTTGTTTTTTGTTTTCTTAGAGACAGGGTCTCACTTTGTTGCCCAGGCTGATCTCAAACTGTCAAACTCCTGGGCTCTAGTGATCTTCCCACCTCAGCTCCCAGAGTGCTAGGATTACAGGTGTGAGCCACTAGTCCCAGCCCCTCATTTCTTACTTTCTTGCTGTCAGGTGCATCTGCCATACAGGGTCATTCTCCTGGAATGCCTAAGTTAAGTTACCGCTTTCAGATGTGTCAACCCCAGCATCCCCTTTAATGGCCCCCACAATCTTAGCATACCATTCTCCCACAATTCTCCTGGGGCCAGGTGTGCAGAGGCACACTGCGGCCAGACACAGCAGCAGGAATACAAACTGCAACAAAAAAGAACAGGGAATATAATAACAATCATAAAGTTTTTCTAAGTGCTTGGGAGTTGATCTTGGATGTGCCACAGCAGGCCCATGGTAGAGGAGAAGGGCAGCTCTCCACAGACCCAACCATCTGTTGTGTTCTGGAGAGAAGCCACTGTCTGTGCCTAGTCAATGAAGACGTTTGCTGCACACTGTCTATGGGCAGAAGGTGAGATGTTTAGTGGGTACAAGAAAGGACAAGTTTGCAGTACTAAATGATTTCCCCTCCCCCTCCCCACCATGTTGCACATGAGGCCAGAGCAAGACACCAGGGGCACCGCAACATTCCACAATGAGAAGATGATCATCCCCCCGTGTGCAAGGGCAGATCAGGACTCACCATTCCAGAAAGAAGTATGAGGGGGAGTAGGGAACAAGACGGGTGTGACCCAATATCTCACTCCAGGCCTTTCCCAATAGAGTGGAAAAACCAAACCACTGGGGCCTGGTTTGCCATTTCCAAGGCCACATAATGATGTGCTCCCCAGTGGGCAGGTTCCATGGCAAGGGCAATAGCAGGTTACCTTGATCAGTGTGCACCCCACACCTACACAGTTTCTCCATTTCCCCAAAGCTGGCAGCCACTTGGGCTGCCCAAGACACTGGCTGTCCTACCAAGGGGCTCAGGATAGACACTAGCATGCCATACCATTAGGTAGGTGCCAACTGTAAAATGGTGTCTTTCATGGCAGCAGTGAAAAGCTCATTGTCAGGACCTCGGTAACGTTAAGCATAGATAGCATGCTTTGTCCCTAATTCCGGGAGGATATCCTGCAATTCCTCCATGGTCTGTCATTGCAGAGGAGACATAGGGATGTCTCCCTCATTTGGCCAGGCTTCCTTGCAGCCTGCAACCACTCAGCTAAGAATAGGAATGGCCCGATGTTCACTATTGAAGCCACAGAGGTACTGCCTTAGGGTTGTGTGGCTTGAGATGGATGCCATTCCACTCATCTTGAGTCCAGACAGTAAGACACCCTTTGCCCCATGTCCCATAGATGGAGAAATCACCCCATGATCAACTCTCTCCCCTTCTGCCTGAACCTCTTTCCTGGCTCCACAAATTACATAGCAGTATAGTCCTACATTGTGGCATGCTGCTGCCTTTCAATTGGGGGCAACTCTTGGTGGCCTATTCCCTGCAGGCCCAGTTGGCTCACTTTTATCTTGGTAGTGACCACTGGATGTGCAGAGGATACAGGAACCTCTATGGGCTGATCTCAATCCTCACTCTCTTCCTCACTAGAGCTCTCTATGGAGTCCCAGGACAATTTAGTCATGATAGCCCTGACTCATTGATGTGGAAGCCAGTGACCCTTCAAACAGGCTACCTGATAAGCCAAGGTCTGCACTTTTTCACCCTGTGCTCACAGGCGGGACAGCAAGGTCTCCGACATTTCGGCCTGAACTAACCTGGCACCTCTTTCTAATCATAGCTCATCCTGTAACTAATAAGCCCCCACCTGTGCTGCAAGCTCAGCTTCCTTGGCTGTTCACAGTGTAGTCAGGAGCAACCAGCCAACCACAGCTGCCACAGTCTAGGCACTTTCACATAGTTGGATCCACCTACTGCAACAGCTCTTCCAGACCGTTCAATGTTTTGGGGTATCCCTGTACGCACGTGTTGGGCCTCATCCACCAAACACAGGGGCTATTGGGCCCCACATAAATGTGTATGGCCAGCCTGGAATTTCCCCCATGGATTTCCCCTTCCCCAATCCCATCTCCTTGGCACTCATGGGATTTTTCTCCAACATTCCAGCTAGCTCATCAATTGTCTGGTGGACCCGTGTTTACCTCAATAGGAAGGGAACCAGGTTCAAGAGGCTGAAGAGACGCAAAGCCAGTGAACAAAACATAGGGTTTATTTGGGGAGAACTTACAGGATAGTCCAGTGGCAGCAGGCTAAATGGGAGAATCACAACCACTTGTAAACACCATGCCATTTATATACCACTTTCACTTGTTGCCATCCTCCCAGCAACCTCCACGTGGCAACTCTCATTTCTTATGTCATTACTGTCAGGTGTGTCTGCCATATAGGCTATGCTTAAGTTATTGCTTCAGGTGTGTCTGCCACAAGGGATTATTCTCAGGGATGCTTAAGTTACTGCTGTCACATGTGTTTACCATATAACAGCGTGTAACTATTGAGTACACGCTATGCCTCAGCTAGGAACTGAAAATGTAACAAGAATAGGACTTCATTCAGCCCCAGCCCTCAAGGAGCTCTTGTTTTGGGGAAAGAGACAAATAAGTTAATGCACAATTATAGTATACTATGATAAGTATTGTGGGAGAGAAGGAAATGGCAAAGGATGCCAGAAGGAAAGCATAAAAATCAGAAAGACACATGGGGAAAGCTTCCAGGAAGAGCTTCATTGGAACTGAGTATAAAAGAATCTGGAGGAGTTAGCAAGTTGGAAAGGCAGTGATGTGGGGGTGTTAGTGGTTAGCATTAGAGATGGGATTCTAGGCACAGGAAACAGCAAGGGGAAAGGCATTGTGTGTTCTAAGTCCTGCAGGTAGCTCGTCATGAATAGGAGTGTGGTGGGAGATGAAGTTTGAGTCTGCAACTCAGAAAAAGAGCCACAACCTAGAGCCAGAGCCTTGCAAGTCCTCAGCCTCAAAGATCTTGCTGAAGCCACGGAAGGGAAAACTATTGCCTGTGGGGTGTAGTGTGAGAAATACAGTTCAAGGACCAAGACCTGCAATGGAGCTGATTGTTTCTTAACGTTCTATTCAATTCCAGACACCAAACTTCACCACACTAAATCTTCCCCGCCCTTTTTCTTCTGATATCTAGACCCTCCCTCACCCAGCTACCATTTCCTGTCTCTACAATTTCTAGTGTTGTCCCCAGTTGTCATTCATATAAAGATAGAAGAATAAGGACTGTCAACTCTTTAGGTTTTTAAGTGACAGTGGGATCTTAGGTACGATTCTGCTGTAGAGAATCCTTTTATAGTAAGAATAATCATTTGCAATAGGTCTGTGTAATACATTGGTCATAGAAAGATGCTGACATTTTTATAAAACAGAGTGTAAACTGTATTTTAACCTCTACATGTTGCTAATTAAGCATTTTCCACCAAGTCAGAGAGCAGACGGTTTCACAGACTTTACAATCTTTTGTTTTAATGATGCCTTTGTAGGAATCCTGGCAGAAAATACGTTCTGTTGCTTTTCCCTATTCATCTTTGCTTACAGGGCAGACTTGATAGATTGTTCTCACTAAACTTTTTCAACTTAAGATTTCTGACTCCTTTTGGCCAGGGAAGCCCCAGGTTTGGCCTTCTGGACTTTGAAAGCATGTGAATTTATTTTTATTGGAATTCTTCTGACTAATCGTTCTGCTGCCGCATATTGTAATTATCTGCCCAAGTTATCTTCTGGAAGGAGATGCTGCCTCTTTTTCCTTTTAAGGACTGGACACTTTCCTGTCTGTGATGGTGAAGGGCTCCCCAGTGCATCTTGTCCCTATTGAAGCTTCCTAGCTCCATCGTCATGGTAACACCATGGCATGGCAAGGAGATGCAGAGGACCTATGATGACATTCAGGCTCAGCTTCATGGGTGTATGACCTGTGCATTCACTCAAGGCCCTGCATTTAGAAAGGCAAAGACCAGCAGGGTGCAGTAGCTCACACCTGTAACCCCAGCACTTTGGGAGGCCAAGGTGGGTGGATCATGAGGTCAAGAGATCGAGACCATCCTGGCCAACATGGTGAAACCCCGTTTCTACTAAAAATACAAAAATTAGCTGGGCATGGTGGCACGTGCTTGTAGTCCCAGCTACTCGGGAGGCTGAGGCAGGAGAATCACTTGAGCCAGGGAGGTGGAGGTTGCAGTGAGCCAAGATTGCAGCACTGCACTGCATCCAGCCTGGCAACAGAGCGAGACTCCATCTCAAAAAAAAAAAAAAAAAAAAGAAGAAGAAGAAGAAGAAAGAAACAAAAAAGAAAAAAGAAAAAGAAGGAAATGCAAAGACCCTGTGCTTGGCTTAATGCTCTGTCATCACTGCCTTGAAAACATTGATAATGTTTTCACAAGAGGCCCCAAATTTTCATTTTACTTTAGGCCCCATAATCTCTGTAGCCAGTCCTGTTGACATTATAATCCCTTTTAACGACAAGAATCAGCCTCAATTGTTCCATAAACACTAGGTTTTCAGCCGCAGCAAAGCCAGTTTATTTCTTCCTGCCATTGGTGTATGGCTGCACGCACCTGGTAAACCACAAGATCTCAGAAGTCCAGAGGGCACTGGTACACCGGGAGAACATGGACAGACACATACCCACACTCAGCTGAACATCACCAGGCACCATACGCAGCTTCTTTGCCAAACATCAGCACTGTTCAGAATAATAAAGACAGAATTGTCAAGGTACTGCTAGTTTCCCCACAGCTGTCGCTAGCTGTGGCTAACCTCAATCAACCTAAGGGCTGTTCCCTAGAGAGTGGTACTTGAATGATCCAAAAAAAAAAAAAAAAAACTTACAAAATCACAATTCACAGTAATCTGAATCTGCTTTCAGGAAGTGTGAAAAGTGATGCCTGTTCAATTAGACCTTTTATTCATTTAAATGCAGTACTAAAAACCAGGTTAACAGAACAATGCTCTGTTTTTTTTCTTTTTAGTCCAAGAACACCTGGCTTGTTAGAAAAGCAACCTGAGAAGAGAAGAAGGCATCTCTCCAATTGTGGAGAGGTTTTATGCCTAATCTCTTTATTCATTTAGATTTTATCCAAAGGAGTAAAGCTGTTATACTGGATTTCACTTGCAATCACATGATACTCAGTTGTCAAGGTTATGAATATGCCTAAAATTCTAGCTACAAAAGAAAAGGAGGTCTGTGCATGTGTGTAGGTATATGTGTGTATGTACATAAATATATACATACATAATATACATATAAAATATTTTTCAAATAGTGTAGAATAATTTTGAAATACTGACTAAAGTTTTCTTAGTCAAAATATTTAAGGTGATAGATATCCCAGGTACACTGATTTGATCTTTATATGAGTGTATTAAATTATCCCATGTACCCTGAAACTATGTACATCTATTATACATCAATAAAAAATTATTTAAGAAATATATACACACATAGACAATATGAAAAAAGGATGTATTATTTCATTATTAACTTTAAGATTTTGATGACACATTGAAATGATATTTTATATTTATATATTATATATCTTGTTAACAACAGAGGCAGTGGCATACTAGAGCAGCTTCATTGGCTCTCGAGTGCTGAATGTACATTTTCAACTCCACATTCAGTGATGTTATATTGGTATTTTGAAATCAGCCATGATTTCAATACCATTAACATCATGGTATCATGGTGACATGTGCTACAACCCAAGGCATTTTCCCCCTGGAAATCCATGTACCAACACACCATTCTATTGAGCTTATTGTAAAAGTTCTAAATAAAACTTGGAAACTGTGAAAATTAAAACATTGTAGATCCAAGTGATTAAAACAAAACAAAACTGATGAAGAATGATTATAGTAGGAGTTTCAATTCCACATAAAGGAAGAGAGGAAGCTGGAAGAATAGCACTTACCTCCATCAGTTTCAACCTGTTGCTTCAGACTGTCTTCCAGGACAGCACATGATAGCCTAAGACACAGCAGTTAAAATACCACATGTTCTAACTTATAAGTGGGATCTAAATGATGAGAACACATGGACACACAGAGGGAAACAACACACATTGGGGCCTTTCAGAGGGATAAGGGTGAGAGGAGGGAGAGGATGAGGAAAAATAAATAATGTGTAGTAGGCTTAATACCTGGGTGATGAAATAATCTGTATAACAAACCCTCATGACACAAGTTTACCTATGTAATAAAACTGCACTTGTACCCCTGAACTTAAAATAAAAGTAAAAAAAATCCTTCCCCTGAGCAACACTGCACCTGAAAATGCAATGAGTGAGTATGTATAGTCTATCTTGGAGCTAGGCTACCTAATGTCATGAGTATGAATCACAAAATTAAATAATTACATAAAATATATGCCTTCATTTTCTCAAAGTCAATACTACTAAAATAAACACATTTTATAAAGATGGGGACAATTAAATCAATTAGAACTCTGTTTAATTATCCCATTTTGCTGAAGTATATTAAAATAACCCAAACATTATATATAACACAGAGGGAAATAATGATTAAAACTGAATAAGAATGTTGTCATTTTCTTTCACATCAAGTCTAATCATATGAAAAGACCCCTTCTCAACAGGGAACTATGAGAAATTAAACAAAGAATTTATTGGTCAGCTGTCTGTGGCTGCATAAATTTATGGCCAAAGGGAAAATTGCACCAGATGTATTCTGCAGGGGGAAAGGGACCACTGCATTTCATTAGTGCTAGCAAAGGTCTTACAGGAATAATTCAGCCTTTTTTATTTAATAATTTCAGCTTTTAGATCATCACTAACTTTTAGATATATCACTAACCACCCTCCACAGCCCATTAAATACTCAACATTTTATTTTCTATTGACTTCTTTCTTTCTGCAATTCCTTAAAGGAGGAGAACTAGAGAGAGGGAAGGAGAAAGTTTTTAGGAATCTTCAGGTCATATGTGTTGTTTAGAAGGAAGGATTGTTTATACTCTTGTTTTATAATACAAATTAAAGAAAGCAAATCTGGGCAAAATATTTTGGACTAGTGAGAATCCAGAGAAGATGCAATGCCAGCATAGATTAAAGACACTAATTTACAGTACTAACTACTAACACTCTAGGACTAACTACTAATACTCTGGAGCTAACTATTAATGCTTTAGTGTTTTGTGCCCAGCACTGTTCTGAGGTGTCACAACAATCCTATCAAGTGATTATCTTTGATAGGCCTCATTTTACAAATGAGGAAACTGAGCACAGAGAGGGTAACTAAAACATCAAACTAAATTATAAAACCAGAAAGTGTAGTTGTAAACTAGACTCTAATATCTGTGTACATACCTCTATACTCTGCCGCTTAAAGCGTGAAATACCTGCCTTGAGAAAGCCAAAGAGATGAAAATATAAAGCCACCAAACAAATGATTTGGGGCAGGATTTAATGACTGGTCTTGTACAGAAAGTTAATCTTGTATAAAGTACCATACATGTATAACACATTTCTGTTTTTCTTTGAGGAAGTTTTCTACCATCCCAGACTCAACTCTTGTTTATCTCCTTAAAAAGATGTCCTCTTCCCCAGCTCCTGATACAGCTAGCATCCAGAATACAGTGTTGCTTATGAAACAATTTTTCAATGAATGAATCCATCAACCAATTAATCAGTTAGCCAATGAATGAGATAATAGCTATGGCATTAAATTTATCTGTAGCTGAACAGTGCTTGATGTGGTTTATTGTTTGAATAATCCTTTATGGTCTCAGAGTATCGGGATAAGCTTTGAAAGTTTGTAGACTGGAGCTGTGAAGACCTAGTATGGATAAAATGGAGAAATAATATTGAGAAAGATAAAGGTATTAGTCTTTAATGATGTACTGAGGATGTACCAAACTCAAGACTGTTCACATAATTTAACTCATTAATTCTCACAACAATACATTTGATAGATGAAAAAATGGAGGCTCAACAAACAAAGTTATTTGCCAAAAGTGATGCTGGCAAATAAGTGGAAAATTGAGGTTGTGAGGCCAATCTTTTTAACTCCAAAGCTCTTTTCACTACCATCCAGTATTTCAGGGGGAAGTGCAGGAGTGGAACAGGAGACGGGGAGGAGGAGAGAGAAAGCATAAAGTGAGTGTAAGATGAAATTTAGCCAGGAGAGAAGCTTTATCTGTGAACTTCGGTTTCTGCTCCAGTTTGACTTAGAAATATCCAGGCAATTATTTTAATTCCCCAATTTCCTCAGCTGGGATTAAAATAAGCATGACCCAGTTGTCACAGTCCTCCTGACAGGAAAGTCAGTGCTGACATGCAATTAACTCGGGGCTTCACTGTGTGCTGGCAGGAGTTCCCATAGGGAGGTAGCCTCCATGAAGTTCTTTTTCACCTTCTGAGTTGGAGGTAATTTTCCCTGTACGGGAAATTCTAAACCTTGGTGCCTTCAGGCAGAAATCTGGCCATTGATTTGCAGAACCTTGGTACTATCCTGGCAGCTGCAGATGCCCCCTCAGCAGTTACAGCTGTCTGGTGGGACACCTGTTCTCCCTAATAGAAGGTGATGGGCAAGGGGCTGGTGAAGAAATATTGGCAGCAGCTCCTCTAATCTCTTGTGATTGGACAAAAACTCACAAGGAGCCATAATGTAAAGGAAATTCTGCCCACAGTAGCATTTTTCCAGAGAAGTACCAGTTTGAGATGCGGTAAGTTAGAGACACCCAGTAGAATCTGATGAAGGGCAGTAAAGAAACTCCTTTAGAAAAGAATTCCTGGCAGTGGCTCATGCCTATAATTCCAGCACTTTGGGAGGCCGAGGTGGGCAGATCATGAGGTCAGGAGTTTGAGACCAGCCTGACCAACATAGTGAAACCCCGTCTCTACTAAAAATACAAAAAAAAATTAGCCGGGCATGGTGGTGGGCACCTGTAATCCCAGCTACTTGGGAGGCTAAGGCAGGAGAATACCTTGAAGCCTGGAGGCAGAGGTTGCAGTGAGCTGAGATCATGCCACTGCACTCCTGCCCAGGCGACAGTGCAAGACTCCGTCTCAAAAAAAAAAAAAAAAGAGAATTCCTAAGGAGAAACTATAAAGAAGTGAAGAGTGCAGTGCCCTCTCCACATTGGTAACACTATACATTTAAAAATCTCCAGCATTCACAATGGCTTTCTTCATCCACCCTCCTCCTACTTTTTAGTAATTGGTTTAATGGACACTAAAAGCATGATGAAGAATGTAGTGTACCCAATTTATTCCTACAGCTAATTTCATAGATAGCAAGCCCACACCTTACATGCTGCATTGAATATATAGGTTACATTTAAAGATCAATATCACTTGACGGCAATTTGATAAGTGCTTATAATTTAATTTCCAGTTACGACATTTACTTAATCAAAACTTTGGCAATGAGAGTCCATTCAAGTACAATATGCAATAAGAGGATCTGGAAAAGAGTCAGAGGAAATCACAGGGTGAATATTCAGAAACTTAAGTGCATGATTTACATCCACTATAACTTAAATAAAAACTCTTACGTCTTTTAAGAAACATTCACAAGCATTAACTATCCCAACACTTGTGGAAAACATAATAATTACAAAACATTTTATATGTAGGGAGTCTGGTAGAAGATATGAACAATCCAGAAATGGCACGATCAATGTAAATAATGAGATTCAATCGGAAATACCTTATTAACTAATTATATATAAATGATGTCGTCATATTGCATTATGATCTGATACTTTTAATCACTTTAAATATATTTTGAGTGTTATTTTTAATTAAAAAGTAAATCATACTCAGGAAAATTTAAAGGCAGCTTGGAAACTGTTTTTAATGTATCTAAAAGTTATTCTAGGTATCTAACTTAAAGCCCTCAAGTAGGACTATTTTGTTATAAATAATCAAAAATTGTTTTTGTACCACTAGAGCTCCTGAATACAGCATTGTTTTCCTCATTTCATATTTTAAAGACATTGTGTCCTCCTAGTAAAGAGTTCCACAACCACACATGAAATCGTTTATATTGGTCCTTTCACTTGAAACTTTGGGCCTTTAGAAGAACATGGTTAGAGTAAGAAGAAAGAAAACAACTTTTAAGTAAATGATGAAAGATGAAAGACCAACACAGAATGTACAATATTTCAACTCAAACCTTTAAATGAGAGTGCCAAAGAAATGTACTCTTCACCTAAAAGACAGAAAAAGAGCATGGCCTTGCCATGCCAAGTAGAGAAGATTCTGGGAGCTTTCCAGGTGCTCCTTCCCTTAGATCTATCCTCTATTCTCTTCCTTTTTCTCCAACATCTCAGACATCAGCAACTTGCAGAAGAGAATTTCCCTGACTCAAAATGTAGTATAGGGGAGTTAATCTTGGCACCCCAGCACTTCATAAATGATTTTTTGTGGACTCTTTTCCTAGGATTCAGGAAGGGGATATGTGCTATCCTCTCCCCTCACCCCCGCCCCCGCCCCCCCCCCCCCACACACACAGAGAGAGAGAAAGAGCGCAAGGTAAGTAAGGAGAAAACTTCCTTGTGTGAATACAGTACTCCCCGAGAGGATACCTCCTTCTCTCTTCCAGGCCCCTTATTATACCCGGTTGGGAGAGGGCAAGCCTGAAGAGAGGCAGATGGTACCTGTGGATGATGGTCCCATGAAGAGAACGTGAGGCATGTTTGCCCTTAGCTTTAGACCTTAACCGATTTCTGCATTTCTGAGCCAACTGAAAACATTCTACTCCACACTTAACACCAAAGTCTTACATTGAAAACAGCCTAAATGCTCATCTATGGTGAAATAGAAAAAAAAATTGACATATTCAAATTATATAATATTGTGTTAAAAGGAATTAGCTAGATCTATGTATACCAACATGGAAAGATCTCAAAAACATAATGATAAATATAAAATGAGGCAGAATGAGATGTATAGTGCTCTCTAGCCTCAGTTTCCTCATCATTAAATTAATTCATTCACTCAGGAAATCTTGGTTGATCTGGGGCCTACCATGCCCCATAACCTGTTTTAGGCAATGAAAATATAGCAACAAAAAATGAAAGGAAAAAAGTTCTTCCTTCATAGAGTTACATTCTAGTGGTATGAAACAGGGAAACTAACAATAAATGAATAATAAATTTATGGCAAATCAGATCTATTGTTTTAAAAAAGCTATAAAGAAAAATAAAACAGAGAATTTAAAAATGTGGCATTAGAGGAAGAAGACCAGAAAGTTTTGCAGATAAGATTTTGCTAGAATGTTGATATCCTAACAAAGACATAAAAGAGTAGAGGAGAGAGGAATAAACCCTCGTTGTGACAAATGCACAGATTAAGATTTGAGGTTGTTAGTGAAGCCTTCTCAAGCCTATTCTAATTAACATACATCCTTTCCTATTTTCTTTTCTTCTTCCTTTTTTTTTTTTTTTTTTTTTTGAGATGGAGTCTTGCTCTGTCGTCCAGGCTGGAATGCAGTGGCAGAATCTCAGCTCACTGCAACCTCCGCCTCCTGGGTTCAAGCGATTCTCCTGCCTTAGCCTCCCAAGTAGCTAGGATTATAGGCACATGCCACCAGGCCCGGCTCATTTTTGTATTTTTAGTAGAGACGGGGTTTTACCATGTTGGCCAGGCTGGTCTCGAACTCTTGACCTCAGGTGATCCACCCGCCTCAGCCTTCCAAAATGCTGGGATTACAGGTGTGAGCTACCACACCCAGCCTGAAAAAGGGTGGCTTTTTTTTTTTTTTTTTTTTTTGATGGAGACTTGCTCTGTTGCCCAGGCTGGAGTGCAGAGGCACAATCTCGGCTCAATGCAACCTCTGCCTCCTGGTTCAAGCGATTCTCGTGCCTCAGCCTCCTAGCAGCTGGGACTATGGGTGTGTGCCACCATGCCCAGCTAATTTTTGTATGTTTAGTTGAGATGGGGTTTTGCCATGTTGGCCAGGCTGGTCTTGAACTCCTGACCTCAGGTGATCAGCCCGCCTCAGCCTCCCAAAGTGCTGGGATTACAGGTGTGAATGACCAAGCCTGGCCTCTATTTTCTAGTGTAGATAAAAAGCATTCTTTATTTTTATATCTTTTCAGGCATTTCGGTGGGAATCTACTTCCTGGGGGTGAGAGGCAGACAATTAAACTTGGAACTAATTTTATTTTGAATCAATGTGTACCTTTTAAGGGATTTGGTAGAAAAAAATTATTGTTATTGAGCTACTCAGAAATAATTGTGCCTAATATACCTGATGCTTAAGCAGGAGTCACTATTAAGAACTCTGATATTGAAAATTTTTAGGAAGCTGAATAAAAGCATCTGGCTAGTTTCCTGAAGAACAATCCAATATATGTCAAAATCTCACTAGCTTGCCTCTCAAATTTATTGTTTAATCTAATGTTAGCTACAAAGCTAACCGTAAAGTTAACGGCAGAAGAGATTCTGTGACAAATGGAAGAATATCAAAATTAATGTCTAGAAATAACTGGATATAAAACCTAGCTTCTTAATGGACCTGTGATATTAAGCAAGATAGCTCACTTCTCTGGGACTCAGTTTCCACATTCGTAAATGGAAATACATTCCTTCCTCTCAGAAGTTGAAAAAAAGGATATATAAATGTTTGCTCTACATCTTTCCCTGTGCAAGAATCTAAGCTCTATAAATGGAAAGAGCATGCCTGCTGTATTAGTCCCAGTGCCTTAGGACCTATCAGAGGCTATCCTGGAACATAAAAAATGCTCATTAAATTTTTATGGACCAAATTAATGAATATATGATAATATCTGAAATAGTGCCTGGCACAGAAAAGATCTTCACATAATAAACATTAGTTTTATCCTTTCTTTTCTTTCTTCTAGCATTCTAGACATTTTTCTCTTCCTAAACTATTTAACCTAGTCCTGTGCTAGTAATCATGAATCTCAACAGTTTTTTTCTTGTTTGGAAGTTGACTTGTTTGGAAGTTGTCAGGAGTATAACAGGAATCTTCAAGCCATGAACATGATCCCTGCACTGAAAATTGACTTTCACCAGAGTGTGATCCCTAAGTAGACCCTGGGTCTCTCTGTCAGCTCTGGCATCCTAATATACATGTTGTGCCTCTTTAGAAATCTTTTGTGACGTAAAAAGAATGCATTGATCAGCTCACCTCATTGAGGTCCTCAATCCAGGTATCCTGCTCCTGCCTAAATCAGGTGTTTCACTCAAGGTGTTCAGAGCCCAGGAGGAGTCAGCAGCAGGCTATCACAGCCTCCTGGCTTGTGGCTAGAGGCACAAACTGGGGCCACCTGCTACCTCTCTATGGTTTGCATGGCATCTCAGAGGTAGGAGGTGGAGAGTGCAGTACTAATAGTTCAGAGATCTAAGCTGTTACTTGAAGTAAAGAAATTGAGAAGAGACTGCAGGTATAAATGCTGTGAAGAGAAGCCACATAGCATTATATTTAAGTGGATACTGAAGTCAGACATGATTCAAACTGCAACTTCACTAACTTTACAGCATCTTGGCAATTGCCTAATCTGTCTGTGCTTGGGTCTCCTTCTATATGATTTGATACCAACAGCCAACATCTACCGAACACACCCTATGGGCTAGAAACTGTTAATACATGCCTGTATTAAATCCTCACAATAACCCAATGAGGTAGATGCCAGAATTATCCTCATTTTACAAATAAGGAGACAAACACATGGAGTGGTTACATTACCTGCCAAATTCCCACAATAAAGCCCATTACCTGCCTGGGTTCAATGCTCAACCAGCCAGCACTCATGGTGAGGACTGAATTCAATGATACGCAGAATAGTTTCTGGAATGTCATCATGCCTTAGAAGGACCATGACCAGAACTGCCTGGCCAGAAATAAGGGATCATGAAGTTCCATAGGCAGTGGGATTGGTTAATAAAAATTGGAGTTTTGAATCTCGTACTGCAAGGCTTGGGAAGGAATGAAGTTTGGAGCAGACGAGAGGAAGTCAATTAAGAGAAGGGTGACTATTTGGAGAGGCAACCAACAGAAAGGGGACTTTAAAATGGTTCCATGAATTGCAGTAGGTAAGGATAGTACCATGCCTTTAAAAATTGGTGGGATCACAGGGCCAAGAGTGAAAGTGGGCTTTCAGAAGAGGTGAATGCATTCAATTTCAGTCATCTTAGATTTAAAAAGAAAGCAAGACATGGCAGCCATACAGAAGATGACAAGGCTTCTTGTGAATACATGAGAGTAGACATAACAAATAAAATGGTGTAATTAAAAAGAAATGGAACTCACCTTGAGTAAGCCTGTTTTTATGTTTTTCTCTCAACAATCACAATTTATTAGGCTCCAACTTACTATTATTACATTTTCATACTTCCTTTACATATGAAAGTAGGAGAGCTTTGTGAACAATTAAGAAATTTTCACATGTGCTTCTTTTCTGAATAAATTGTTATGTGAAATAGTTTATTTTGGCAGATTCTTAGGGCTTGAGCCTTTATCTTGAAAAGAGGAAAGAAATGTCTTTCACTTAAAGTGGCTTCTCAACCATTATAACTGAAAGAGACAACAGGAAGGAAAAAGCTTTCACAACCTTTTATCTGAACATTCTGTTGAACTGTTCAAATTATAAGAACTTATACCTGAGTTCTTAAATTTTCAAAGTGCACAAAATAAACTTTCTGTTCTCCTCAGAAATCATGTGATATTATCCCTGCAGGAGAAGAGATTGGGAAGGTTTAGAACATTCTTTAAGCTTTTCAATTGATGTCAAATGGAATGGGATACCTGCCTATGTCAGGAAGCTCATTTGCTTCACCCTGTGTCTGCCAAAGTCCAATATGCTGAAATTCTCACTCAGTGGTTCCACTCTGTGGGATGCTTTATGCCACCAGGCATTAACTATTGAACTGCCAGTCTCAACTACCACTATAAACAGCCTTAGTCACACAGAAGAGTTACTTGAGAAATGGCTGCCTTTGCAGGAAGTGGTGCCTGGAATAGTGTGATGCATAATATTTCACCAAGCACGAAAACAGATGGTAACAAAGGTGAGAAGTCACCCAAAGTGTCTTCTTCCTGGAAAATCCTCACCATGCCACATCAGAAAGGTATAATATCCACGGTATTGTTGACAACCATATTGTTCAGCCTCTACCTGGCTGTGTAGTCCTGGACAAGTTACTTAAACCAGCTGGGTTATCAATTTCCTCATATGTAATATGAAGATAAAATGCCTAGTTCACAGTATTGTTATTGAAAAATTATATGAATAAAACACCTTAGAATAGTGCTTAGGCATTCAATGCATGTTAGTATCTGTCTCTCAGTTCTCAGTCATGAGCTTGTTCTCTAACTATGGCCCAAGTACTACCAGAACCCACTTTTCTCTGCATTTATGCATTTATGCCCCCTTTGGAGGGGGTCATAGGATCAGTATAAATGGTCAACAATATTTGGCTGGCAAAGTATTACATTTTTTGACACTTGCTGTACCTTACACTGTGGACATTAATAAATGTCTCTGTACTAGCTTAACCCAAAGAAAAATACTTACATATGAATTTTGCAACTAAATCCTCCCAAGACAATATGAGGATCAAGCAGAAGGCTGCAGAAAGAGGCACTGAAGAAGAGACCATAGAGGTAATATATTTAAGAGAGAAAATGCACTCTTTGTCCATTGCCCTAGGAGATTTGCTCCCATATTTTTCCATTCTCTCTTGGTATTTTGTCTTTAGCATCTGTTAATAAAGACATTTACTAGAGCAGGTTGATCCATCTGTGGGTCAACAGGAAAATACACAGATTATATAGATCCTACATATCAACCTGAGGAAAGGTAAAGAAAGAGAAGGTATCATTTGGGGACACTGTATTGGAGAAATTCAAGATGGTAGGCTAAATATCTAATCCTAGAGCTGCTATAATTCCAAATTCATAATGCTTATCTAGGTAATACAAAATACTACCTCAATCCCCTTTGAGGCCTTCCTAAATTTCTATCCTTTGGACCCATTACATAAGCCCATTTGACTATGTGTTGTCCCCAGGTTAGCTGTGGAATCACAATTAGTAAGTCATTCTAGAAAACTGTACATATCACAAATAATTTTAGAGTAACACCATCTAGAGATGTACCAATCATTTGCCAATTTGTCCAAAAAAAGACAGATTAAAATGTGTGTTGTAGAAGCATGTGTCATACATATATCAGTAAGAAGAAGTGATCATGTCAGACGTTCTGATATTACAGTCATTCAAATGACTTTCTCCTCTTGGTTCCAGGTCAAAGGAGCTCCCTTTATTTCACACATAAAGATAATAATATAACACATTTCCAGTGATAAATAATGATAAAATACCTTAGCATTAGACCATTATGCTCAAGATAAACCAAAGAAAGCACATAAATCTGTTTGGTCCTATTCATTCCTTAAACCATTTTAGAGAGCACTATATCAGGACAAGCACCATTCTAAATGCTAACAATATAGGAGTAAATGACAATTTTCCTGTCTTCAAGGAGGTTACAGCCTGTCAGACGAGGTTTGCCCACCACTACATATATACAAAATAGCATGTCGTGTGCTTTAGTAACAGTAGAGGTGCCAGGTACCATGAGAGCACAGAGATATCAGCAATTCAACTGGATCTTTATTAATAATGGAGAGTGGAGGCACATTCCAAGTAGAATATCTAAAAACAATGCAAAAGATTGGTGAGTTGAGGAATGATGGTGTTTTAGCCTAGGTCCCCTAGAAAGCAGAACCTGAAGTAAGTCTTAAGGCACTAACACTTAATTTGCAAGGTATATTCCCAGGACCACAAAAGTAACAGAAAATAGAGTGGGGTGTTGGGGGGAGGGGTGGAAGATGTGATACAGGGTGATACAATGCATTACAACAGCTATAGCCTCACAAACAGAGAGACAGAGCATGCCACTCAGCAAGCACGTTTGCTAAGTACAACTCTGGAAGCACCACATGTGGAAGCAGTCTACAAGGAAGAGGAAGAAAGAAAATGTCTGTCAACTTTTTCATCGATCAAGGTTCTCCCAGTGGTGGGTCAGCTGGCCCCTTGACAGCTGCTCAAGAATGCAGATCATACACTAGGGAGTGATGTTCATCCAAGTCTGAAAATGAAGGAATGACCTGAGGCAGGTGGTGTGACGACAAAGAAAGACAAAGATGCAAGCAGTGGAGGACTCTGGGAAGCCACTCGAGGTTTTTGTGACTAGAAAGCATGGAAGGAAGATAGGCAGAAAAAGCAGAGATTAACTTGTAAAGACCTTTGTGTACACGTTTGAAGGGTTTGGATTTTGTTCTGTGGGTGAAGAATATTTTTAGGAAAGGGGAAGTCAGTCAGACATTGTTCAAGGTTAATTGATTATACAGGTAAAAGTGGATCCGCATTTTCTACTGATTGCTTCAATATTTACCCAAGGTTAAAGAAATTCATTTTGAGACACTCCAAATTTAGATATAGAAACAATCAACTGAGATGCAATAATTATTCAGGGAGCAGACAAACTGTCAATGAACAAGCAATGGTAGATGCTCTTGTCTATTTTGTTTAACTGAAAATAGAAATTAAATTATTATTTACTCAAACAACAGATGGATACCAGGTCCACATGGCATCTTGAGATGGTCTTGAATTATGTGAGTTGGCTGATATCACTGTTGAAACTCTCTGGGAAAGAGCCTCCTTTTCGCACCTGGCTTACAAAGCAACCACCCTGGAGGATGCAAACATATTTAGTGCTCTTTGAAACACAACCAAGAAAAACATCTGGCATTTTTTAGAAGAATGGTTTTTTTCACTGTATAGTTAAAAAAAATCGTTGTTGTCTAGCAACAGCCAACATTTCTAGACAGCTTTTCATAATCCATAATCTCATTTAATCAGCATAGCAAGTTTATGAGAAAGGAATTATTGCCCCCTTGTACAGATGTCAAAATTCAAATAGATTCAGAAAGATTAAATAGTGAGCCCAATTCCTATACCTAATTAGTGGTGCTGCTGAAATGTTGGACCTTAATACATTTGTCTCCAAAGTGCACATTTTTTCTGGACTACCTTGCTGCCTCACTTTGTGTTATGAAAAGACAAAGCCTGGTTTTTGTTGTTTTTTGTTTGTTTATGGTGAGAGTACAAAGCCACAGAATTTGAAAATCTATTAAAACACTCACACCCATAATTTCCCTATGGCAAATTTCTGAGAATCTTTCTTGATCAGATTTATCTTCTCACATGGCACAAAATCTTGAGGAAATGAGTTCCACATATCTGATGTGAAGTTGTTCTTCCCATTAAGGGTATTTAGTTCATACCCTTAAAGCTTACAGAGTTCCCATGATTTTAATATTCTGGAATTCACCTTGATGATTTCAAAGATTTTTTAATATCATACACCATCCTTCAGTCAATAGATCTGAATTTAAGTCTGAGCTCCTTCATTATGTAGGTTTGAACAAATGATTTAAATTATATGAACTGCCTCTTCCTTGGATGTAAAATGGGACTTTCTTATGGGGTTTCTAGTCTGCTAGACGAGAGATTTATACAAAGCATAAAATAGGCCATTGTTTGCCTAAGAGTTACAAGGGTATTGATATCAGCACCCCCAGTGGTGCACACACCTGTACATGATCCTGTACATGATGCTGATTTGAAGTATGTATCACTCTTGAGTGCCCAAATCCTCTGATTTCCTTCAGAGTCAGAAAAATGAAAATTTGCCTTCTGAAATAAAGACACTGTATAGATAAGCTGTGTTTGTATGCATGCACCTTAATCTTTACAGTGAAAAAGAAGAGTGACCCTTTGTCTCCTGTGTTCTCTTTTACAGTTAATGTCAAATACAACAAGATAAAAGGTGTAAACCCCGCCTCAGACTCAGTCATCTTTCTGGGATCTATTTCTCTAGGTTTGCCTCTTTTTTCCTATGGGCTTCACTTTTGTGTCTCTCTCTCCTTCCTGCTCTGATGCTGCTGTTTCTGAGATGAGATTAGCAAACTTAACCCCCTGGCATAGATTCCTAGCTTTCACTTAGCAACTAGATTCTGGTTCCTTCTCATTCTCAATTCATTCTTAACTCATTCAAAAACTGTTGCAGAAAATTCATGATAAGATGTGCTAGAATAATAAATGTCTTACCCCTTTTCCCTGATCCCATTGAAACTACCAATGAACATAAAAATTAAGCTGCAAAAATATTTTGAATATTTGAAATTGCAGGGATGTAACAATATCTGGAGGATGTTTCTTTAAATTAATGTATTTCCACATAGGAAATAAAAGCTTAAACAAAACATAAAATAATAAAATGCCATGATATTATGAGTTTTTTTACTTTGTTTTACTCTTATTTGCTTCAAAATGTTAAATAATGAGCCTGAATCACTCTGTAAATAGAAACAAGATAAACGCTATTTTTAAAGAAAACAAAAGAAGAAAAAACAAAAACATAACATTGACTACATTTTACAACTTAATAGACACTGTAGTTCATTTTGTCTACTTTGGATCATAAATAGCAATACTAAGTACTTTGAAACATGCTCCAAGGCTAGTAAATAAGATGTGGCATATAATTCCCACAGGAAAAAGACAATGTGCATTTTAATGGTCTTCTGGTTAGGCAAAATGTAGATATTTGAAATATCTTCTAATGAGTTTGGTACTAAAATTTGAAGTATGCTGATAACATACCACAAAATATTTCAACAGCACAGCTACTAAGCTGATTTTAATTTTCCATTTAATCATAATCATAAAGAATATACAGGTTAAATTTAGATTTATTTTAATGATCTTCAGCATTATTATTCTATTTCTTGAAGCATTCTTCATCAGCACTCTGACAAAGGGAATTTAACATCTTTATTTACTTTTACAGCTTTCTCTTTTGCAAGGGACATTATGATCCAATAGTCTGCATGTAAGAAATTCACCTAATTATGGTGTTCCAATCTTAAGACATGTCATAAAAGTAGCTTAGATTGATAGCAACGTGGAAGGGGTAGGGAAGAAGAAGGCATAGGCAGATAATTAGAAAACTCTATTGAAGAGCTTGAGAAATGATTAAAGTATCAATGTTGAATCTTTAAAACACTTCCAGTACAGTCTGTGACCGCTTCGCAATGATTTATGAATTTATGTTGCCTTAGATTTTCTTCATATTCACATCTTCCCTCTGTTCTATGTCATTTCTTAAAATATAATTTTTTAGAGACTTCTTTCAATTATATTTTTAATTAGGCTCAGAAATACTATCTAATCCTCTCCAAATTTCTTTCTTTCATCCTTCTTTCCTTTTTTTCCCTTCCTGCAAGTTGAGCGCACTATGTTCCTAGAAACTGCTAAAAGCCAGTTGTGCAAGTGACATAAGATACAGACTTTGCCCCTCAAAGAGCTCATAGTTGAAAATCAAGTCAAACTTGGAAATAAAGAACTGTGAGTTCCATAAGAACAGTTTTCACAATGCCTTTAATAGCACAGAGAAGGTGAAAAACTCATGTATGATACAGTTAACAGGGAAGAGCCCAGGTAGGGAGATTAGTTAAGATCTTATTGCAGTTTTCCTCCAAAGAGAGAATGATGTCTTCAAATATGTTTTATTAAAGAGAAAAGGTCAAAAGGAAATAATTCTGATCGAATAGGAAGCCGAGGGCAGGAACTAGTAGGGCCAGGCTGCTGCTCTCAAGTATGATACAAGCTAGGGATGGAGAAACACAAACACATTGTGGTAAAGATTATAACTGAGTTAATTTTTGAGTTTAAAAGGGAATTATAAAGGCCAGAACCCAGGAGTAACAACTATTTTTTCTATTGATAATGGCTAACATTTATTATGTCAGGTTTTAGGCTAAGTTCTTGACCTGTATTATCTAAGCTAATGTTTACAGCAACCCTAAGAATTAAGTAGATTATTTTCTCAATTTTATAGATGAGAAAAATGAGATGTAGAGAAGTTAAGCAACAAAATACACAGTAGTAAAATCAAGATTTACCTACAGTCTGACTATTCTGGGCTCTTAACCATACTTCTAAGGGTTCTACTTGACTGCATGTTTGATTTGCCTGGGAACCTTAAAAAATGTATTGATACCCAGGCCCTACTTCAGACCAAATAAATCAGAATCTCTGGGTGTAGGACTCAGAATTGGTATTTCTCTTTTTTAAGTTACCTAGTGATCCCATGTTCAACCATATTTGAGAACCACTCTATTATTCTCTTCTTAAAGAAAAGCTAAGATGATATTGAGTTGACATTTGAGGGATTAATAAAAGTTTAGCTTATGGAGAAGCAGAAAAGGGCACTCCAGTTGAAAGAGAAGCATGAGCAAAGGCATGACATATTAGGACAAAGGGTATGCATCATATCCAAACCAAGAGCTTTGTGGGATGGAGAAGGCAAGAGAAGCTAATTGAAACTAGATTTTGAAAGGCCTTGAATTCCTCAATAAGAGCCTCTTATTTTATTCATCATGCAACAGAGAGTTTTTAAGTGTTTTTAAATATGGGAGTGAAAGAGAATCTGATCTATATTTTAGGAAAAAAATGGCTCTTTGGGGTAACAGGTATAATAAAGTTTAGTAAATGGCTTAGGGCATACTGAAATAATTTGAAGAATTCACATTTACCAGTGATTTGTTCTGTTGCATCCTACTGGAAGTGGACATACTGTTTGATATTTATAATTTAACTCAAAGTTAATTCTCTACTCTTACACCACAGCTGTTATCCAAGAGTACATGAACTTGAGAGATTTAAAATCAATTTAATAATCATTTAGGTATAAATAGAACCAAAGTGACTCACTAGCCTCTGTTTGGTGTCAGGTTTTCATCCTACATGGAGTGAAGACAGAGAAAAAGGTGAGAGTAGGAATTAAAACTCACATTTTTAAATTAGACTCAAATATTTTTTGTTAATCAAGAAAACTCTCCTTGAACCATGAAAACAAATGACATTTCTAAAACTATGGCCTATCTCATAAATCATGTTTTCTTTACCAAACTGTTGCATGTTTTTAATCACCTTACCATTTAGGAACGGGATGTGGAAGACATGGGAATACCGCAATGAATTACAGTAGAAGACCTTCTCTCATCTTCTGTGTAATCTCTCTAAAAAGCTGGGCTTCCTGCTTCCTTTATGACTGGAGTCAGCTGAAGAGACCCCTCAAGAATGACACGTAGCATAGTGCTTAGCAGCTGTTTTCATGTGAGGCTCCATAAGAGAATTAACTATAATTCCAGCCTAAGGTACTCATTGTACAGAATAAATTAACTTCCCTTATATATCTAAAATGGTACTAGCTTGTACTGTCCTTGGGAAAGTTGAGAAAGTAGTCACTAAAATCATTTTCTGTAGGGTTTAATTCTCTGGTAGAACCCAAGTGCTAAATCAGATGTATGGAAAAAATCATGGGTTGTTCAAAGAAGAGGGAGCAAGAATATCAAAAATACTCTTATCTCAAAAATAAACCATCCCAGATCCATATAATTATGAGACTGGAATTTAGGGAAATACATATATCAAGACTATTTTACTTTTTAAAATTATTCTACATTTCCTGAATGTAGTGCTAAAAGAAAAACATTAGCCAAATTAAATTTAAAAGAGTTTAATTGAGCAAAGTACAATTCAGTCAGTCTCCCAAGCTCAGGGACTCCAGTGCAGCCATGTGGTGGAAGAAGATTTATGGATGGAAAAGGAAAGTGACATACAGAAAACAGAAATGATGTACAGAAACAGCTGGATTGGTTATAGCTCGGCTTTTCCTTATTTGAACACGGTTTGAACAGTTGGCCACCTTTGATCAGCCAAAACTCAGTGATTGACACAAGAGTAGACTACAGTTTGTATATAACTCCATTTAGGCTATAGTTTGCAAAGTACAGAGAAACCTTTAGGCCAAATTTAAAATATGTAAGGAGGCAGATTTAGGCTAAACTTGGTCTAACAATTCCCCCCTTTTGGTCATCTTCTCAATTTTGAGAGATTGGCCAAAACTTTAGTCATTGATGTCACAATCACCATCATAAATATACTTCTTTGGTGTTTAAACTCACTGGGAAATAGCAGACATGGGTTTTGTAAGGTGGGAACAAGGAATTTAGGTTACCTTTTTTGTGAGGGTTAGAGTAGAGGTACCTCCTTATATGCTAGAATGTCCTGTTTACAGGAGGAAAAAACAAAACCCGGTCTGTTCTAGAATCTATGTGTTTCTTTAAACTCTTAGTTTGATTAGTCATATTTAGCACAAGTGACTCCATTTTGGTTTGGTCTGGTCTGTTAGGGCCTACTGCATGAGCTTAGTCCAAAACAATGGCCTCTCATAATTTTGTTTAATAATTCCCCCCTTTTGGTCAGGTTCTCACTTAGGTGAGAGTATGACCAAAATTTAGGGCCTTAGCACCTCTCTCAGTTACCATCATTTTGGGTTTCTGGTCTTAGCACGTCATTTACAGATTATGGTGCCCTCATGGTCACACATTTCTTTCAGGTCTTGTCATTCCAGTTGAAGAGAGACCACTTGACATTCTACAGACGGCTGCATGCAAACATTTAAAACTTTTGAGAGAATACAGTGCACCAGGGAGACTACTATTATGACTATCAGGAGGATAATACCAAAAGTTTGGAGTATGCTCCTTAGCCAGGGCTCCATAAACCAAACCACCTAAAATCAAATACATTAAAAAATGAGCTAGATAGTCTACTCACTTTAACTAAGCAGTCTCTTCATTAATCTCCTACAACTGAATCTCTGTAATGTCTGATGTGATGTATTCCTCCATGGGCAACAAGTGCCAGCAGCTGCACAGATACTTCTCTGTTTAGTCAGTAAGTAATCTAGAGCAATTCTATTATTTAGCATAACTTTCACAAGAGAATTTAAAGTCTGTTGTGTAACCATAGCCTTTATAGTAGAATCTGCTATAGAGCCTATCATGAGGGATAAATTTCTAATCATTGCCTCATTTACTCCAAACCATGGCAAAAGAACCTAACAGTTGATGCCCTTCCAGAAGAGTAAAGACCTCCTGTCAATGTTCTCTTTAACCTATGATGTGGGTTAAGAGGAATGAACCAATGTTCTATTTCTGACTGATTATGAGGCAATGTAGGTACCATTAAAATTTCTCACCTACATTGAGCCTTCGTCTTTCATCTATCAAGGCATAAGTTTATCAAATGTATAAGTTTGGCTACAAAATCCTTCACAAGTAAAATTATACCCCATGAGTACACACAACAGACTCCCTGTACACTTCTATTGTTTATAGAGGCATAAGTAAGGGGAAAAAAGTGAAAGAGTCTCATGATAGCAGAGAAAGCTTGACCTGTGATTTGGGGGGGAAAAGCTATTTCCATTAAGGATGCTATCTTCTTCTGGGAAGAAATTTCCCTGGTTAGCTTTACCTTAAGGTTTCCAATGGGTATACATTCCAAGAGTGTGGAGGGATCCTTCTGAGTTGAGAGATTATGAACCCAAGATTCAAGGTCCTGAAGTTTTGCTGCAGTGTGGATGACAAGAGCATTCTTTCTCTGATGTTCTCAGATCTAATCTTTGGGTTCTGGATTGTAAAGGGATTGATTGTCCTCAGTCAGTCAGTGAACCATGAAAAGCTTTCTTTAGCTGGTGAAAATACACTGTGGCATAATGAACTACTGTTATAACATCAGCCCTCTTGCATGGGAAAGCTTTCATACAACCAGAAAACATGCATTGAAAATGACAATTGGATGAAATCTGTCTATAAATATTTAAAAGGTCCATCGGGTAGTGAAATGTACCTGAAGTTTTGATTGTCTTTTCAGGAATATGGGTTTGACAAAACCACATGTCGGTCATAAACTATTTTAGCAATTTAGAAGTCACCATACCAATATAATATTTAATTTGGATCATTTTATCTTTTTCATGATGAGTCATGATGCAGAACTTGTAATTTAAAAAAAAAAGCCAAAAGCCTTAAGGACTCAGGAAGGACACAGTGGCCATCCTGGTTCTCCATGCTTAACATTGGACTTATGTCCTCTTGAAGTTGTTTCTCCACTTTAGGTGCATAGCACTGACAACTGATGGGTTACCATAGGTAATTTCACTTAGACCATGGAGTTCATTCAAATTGTGTACCTAAACAATTTCAGTATTGGCTGATTTAGCATGAAAATCTGGCAAAGTATTTTCTTGGTATTCAATTAATTTTTGTTCTGTTTGAGTTAGCAGTTTTACAAACCAGTCTTTTTATTGAAGTTCTAGGAATTCTTATCTAGTCCAAATGATGTGATTCTAAAGCTATCAGAAACCTATATTCAAGAGTGCTTTTCAGGGCCCTTTGCACCCTTTCATGAACCTCTTTAAAGACACCATATTATAGGATTTTGCATGCTTGTGAAGTTTTCAGAAATTGCATCATAATACATACAAATGGCCAACAGACATATGGAAAAAAAGGTTCAACATCAGTAATCATTAGAGAAATGCAAATTAAATCACAATGAGATATCACCTCAGACATGTTAGAATGGCTGTCATCAAAAAGACAAAAGACCGTAAGTGTTGTCAAGGACGTGGAGAAAAGGGAACTCCTGCACACTGTTGGTGGAAACTTAAACTGGTACAGCCATTATGGAAAACAGTATGAAGTTCCTCAAAAAATTAAAAATAGAATTACCATATGATTTAGCAATCCCACTACTGGGTATATATCGAAGGGAAATGAAATCAGTTTGTCAAAGAAATGTCCACACTCTCTGCAGTGCTTGCAGCACTATTTTTTACTATGTTTACTGCAGCACTATTCACAATTGCTGCATTATGGAATCAACCTAAGTGTTCATCAAACAACAAATGGATAAAGAAAATGAGGTATATATACACAATGGAATGCTATTCAGCGATTAAAAAGAAGGAAATCCTATCATTTGCAACAACATGGATGAACCAGGAGGACATTATGTTAAATGAAATAAGCAGTCACAGAAAGACAAACACCAAGCTTCACTTAAATGTGGAATCTTAAAAAGTTGGACTTGTAGAAGCAGAGAGTTAATAGTGATGATCAGGGGCTGGGGTGGAGGGTGGTAGCGGACAGATGTTGTGCAGAGAATACAAACTTTCAACTAGTTAGGAAAAATAAGTTCAAGAGATATACAACATGGTAACTACAGTTAATAACGATGCATTGTATTCTCAGAAATCAGTAAGAGGCTAGGTGTGGTGGCTCATGCTTATAATCCCAATACTTTGGGTAGCTGAGGCAGGAAGATAGCTTAAGCTCAGGAATTCAAGACTAGCCTTGACAACATAGTAAGACCTTATCTCTACAAAAAATAAAAATAAAAATTAGCCAGGCATGGTGCCACATGCCTGTAGTCAGAGCTATTCAGGAGGCTGAGGCAGGAAGATCACTTGAGCTCATGAATTTGAGGTTAGAGTAAGTTATCATTGCACCACTACACTCCAGCCTGGGTGATGAAGTGAGACCCCCATCTCAAACAAACAAACAAAAAAATCAATAAGAGAGTAGGTTTTTAAGTGTTCTTAATAACAATAAAAAAAGATGAGTGTGTGAAGTAATGCATACACTAATTAGCTCAATTTATCCATTCCACAATGTATACATATTTCAAAACAACATGTTGTACACAATAAATACATATAATTTTTATTTATCAATTAAAAATAAAAGGAAAATCTATTTTGTTCTTTTGAGTGTATTAAAGGAGGAGGTTTCTTGATTTTTTTAAGCCATTATCCTCAGCAAACTAACACAGGAGCAGAAAACCAAACACTGCATGTTCTCACTTATAAGTAGGAGCTGAACAATGAGAACACATGGACATAGGAAGGGGAAAAGCACACACTGGGGCCTTTCTGGGTGGGGGGATGGAGGGAGGGAGAGCATCAGGATAAATAGCTAATGCATGCAGGACTTAATACTTAGGTGATGGGTTGATAGGTGCAGCAAACCACCATGAAACACGTTTACCTATGTAACAAACCTGCATGTCCTGCACATGTATTCCAGAACTTAAAATTAAATTAAATTTTAAAAATAATAATAATTGATTACAGAGCAGGTACAAATGTAAAGAATCTACAGAAGTCAAATTAAGATGTAAAAGGAATCTTGGTAGGAAACCAAGCAAAAAAGTAATTTTTTCTTAAGTTTTTTGTGAAGAACTATATCTCTTTTGATGGCCATACAGGGCACTGAGGAGACAGAAAAAGTCACAGGTCTTTAGGTAAAATAGGCAAATCCCTCCTCCACAAGGCCCCAAATAAAGCTGGAACATCTAAGATTTTCATCGTACATATAATGGTGGGGATGTGAAGTAAATCCATCTTGCAAAATAGCATTATTTGGAAACCAAATTGTCTTGGCCCTGGTGCTGGGTGGAGAAGAAAAATACCATACCTGAGAATTCATAGATAAAACTTACCACTCATGCTACCAGTATAGTCTGAAAAACCTCAGGCAGATAATTTGATATAAAATAGTTGGCTATGCTCCATGGAATAGTAAACACAAATTCTTTCTAAAAGAATGTAATGCAATCTAGGCTTCAGAAAATTCCCATAGATAAAGTTCCAAAGAACATGAGTTCACAGTCAAAAATCCCAAAACACACAAGAACCCAAAGAACAACCACTGAAAGCATCCAAAACAATAATAAGCAAAGTCGGACCAGCAAAGATTCTAGACAATGGTATTCTTAGACACAACACAAAATAGCTATATCTTACGTGTTTAAAGAAATGTTTAAAAATCTTTAAAATGTCAGCAGAAAACCAAGTGATTTAGGAATAGCCAAACAGATTGGGAAAAGAACCATATAATTCTTCCAGATACTAAAAGTATATTCTGTCTTGCACCTAGGATGCAAAAAGTCAGCAGAGAAAGTCACTCCTACCCTAACAATAAGAGCAAGTCTGATAGCCTATAAAAAACATCTAGTCTCCACAGAGAATTGAGGCTGCAAGGTAACCTACTGCACTAAAATCCAAAAAGATGGCAACACCCTCTGAGAAGAAATGAATCCCACAGCTGTTTCATCTTCAGCAAAGAAGTGGAGGTAGGAGGTAGCCACCACAGAAGTTGGCAAGAATAAAACATCTGAGGCTTTAATAACATGTTAAATGATGAGTTTGGGTTGGCACAACAGTTTAGAATGACTGGGGGCCCCAGACAAGGGGGGATTCTTACCCATCCACAGAATCTTTTTACTAATTTCCATTGAATATTTGTGAAAAGGATTAGGGGCAGGAGAGGAAGCTTGAAAAAGATTGTCCCCGCAGTAAAGACAAGCAGGGCCTGCCTAAGTTTGAGGTTGAGAGGAAAATGAGAGCTGACCTGCTAAGCCCCAGACTCTGTGTGAGTAAGAAGCAGGGTCCTCCCCTGTTGGGAGAGGGCAGGAAATCCTGCTTTGCTCCTCTGAGAAGAGCCACCCCCACCCGGTCTCAATCTGACTTAAAGTCACTAATCTTTTTAAGTTAAAAAACATACCTGCTGTAAAGTTAGTTTTATCACTTTTACCAGATCTTCAAATATACGGAAAAACAAATAATAAAATCTCGCAGTCTCAAGACTGTTTTTTAGGTAAATATGTAGAATAACTCCACGAAACATTAAAATAGTTCATTGAATCTTGCAACTGAGTTCACTTACCTGATTATCTAGAATTCATTGGGCAAAAAAGGGAATCTTTTTCTAGGGAAACATCAGCACTCTACAGAGAAGTGTGGCAGGAAAAAAGTGCCATTTCATGTAAAGGTAGAAGAAGAAGTTCTTCCTATGCCATGGTCATCATGGTCTTCCCCACTACTGCCACCTACAACAAAATACCTCCTCCAACTTCCAAACACTTCTAGACTACTGGAATTAACAGTGGTCTAGATAGATAAGGAAAGAGTGAGAGAGAGAAATTTAGAAGGCAAAATGCCTGTATGAAAAACAATCATATTGAGATGATTTTATTCTTAGATGTGAGTGAGTGATCTAACAGAGTAGGTTATAACTACAACTGAACATGGAAGGAGAGGGAGAAGGGGGTATCTGAAGAGGGAGAGGGCATAATTTAATTTTATAACCTAAGAAATTTGTTACAAAGTAAATAAAAAAGATAACAGTAAAAAGTTTAGGTTTCATACGGATTTTCTGTTTCTGGTTCGACCAAAACTAATAAACAATATATGCCTTCACTGACACCCACATTTCTTCAGTCAACCTAATTTTATTCAACAAATATTTATTGAACCACTATTATGTGCCAGGTACTGTTCTGACCATTTAGGATACATCATAGAGTAAAGATTCCTGTCCTCATGGAGCTCCCATACCAGTGAAGGGAGACAGAGAATAAACAGTAAATATGATAAATGAGTAAATTATTTAATATGTTAGGAGGTAAGTGTGATGGGTAAAAGAAGGGGTAGAGAGGATGGGAGATCAGAAATGTAGAAAATTGAAGTTAAAATATTAAACAGGATGGTCAGGGTAGACCTCATGGAGAAGGTCAGATACGAGCAATGACAGAAAGGAAGTAAATCAAGCAGTTAGCTTTCCGGAAAAATTCCTGCAGGTGGGACATCTGGTATTCCAGCTGTATTCAAGGAACAGGAAGGAGGGCAAAATGTAGAGCAAGCAAGAGGAAATGTAATGGGATTGGAGGTCATCTCCTCCTTTTTATTCATTTTTATTCCCACTCCAAACTATTAAATCCCACTTAAGGAAATCACACAAATGCAGTGATGGACTCCACCTTGAGATAAATTATCCAACTTCAGCTGCTGTAACTCAGTCCTAGTTATGTTCTCCCTTCCCTGAATCACTTCCCACAGCAGAACTTCCAATTATATTCTTATCAAGGTGGCATTCCTGCCTCCAGACCGTCACCTCTAAAGATGCCCTTGACTCCTACTTTGTTCAGAGAGGAGAAAAGACACTGGCTGTGCTATTCCCATGTAACCCCACTCCCCATCTCATACAGTTCAAAGGGAGACTATCCTCCTACTCAAGGCCAGTCTCTGCACCTGGCCTGGGCCCTTAGCACTTCCATTGCCCCTCTCTCACAGACTCCTGAGTCTCCCTCTCTGAAGTTTCCTTATTGAATGTGGATGTCTCTCCTCAATCTCACTCTCCTCGAGCAGTTTTGTTCATGCCATCGCTATATATTTCCATCTAAATGTTGATGATTTTCTCATCAACTGCTCTAGTTCTGAGTTGTTTCTGAGGTCTAAGCAAGAATTCCCAACTGTGTACTAGACATGTATGTTCTAATGATACATCAGATATAATGTGTCAAAAATCAAGCATAACTCCACCTTCCAGATAAATTAATACTTCCCCTGTTTCCTGTCTCAACAGATGGCATCATTACTCTCTCAGTCATCTTGACTTTACAGTCAGCTTCTCTCTTTCCTTTATCTCCCATTTATAATCAGTCAAGTTCTATAAACTCTACCTTATAAATGTCTACCACATCAATAGCTACCTTTTACCAAATACCTGCATTCACCACTCTCACTGGCCTCTTCATTCAAAGACAAAAATCCAATCATGAGCATCTTTTACACTGATTCAAGGAATAATGAGCCAAGTGCCATTTGCTGTCTCTACATAGCCTTTTTTGATAAATGAGATTTGGATTTTTGCTTGTTGTTTTGTTTTGTTTTGGTTTTGTTTTTAATTTTCTAGTACCCAATGAGGTAGGTGCTTAATTCCATTGAACAATTCATGTGAACAAGAAAAAAATGATTGGCTTCTATGCAAATTAAATTCATCTTAAAACCACACCGTAACAGAAAAGTTAACAGGGTAAAGCACTTGAGTTCAGACTGGAGAAAAATTAAAAGCTTGCAAAGCAAATAAGGGAGTCTGGAAAGAACTTCAGAGGGAGAGAGAGAAAGAGAGAGAGAGAGACAGAGAGAGAGAGAGAGAGAGAACACCACTGGAGAACATATATTTTTCAGAGGAAGCCTGGAGTTTAGGCTGTCATAGGAAGGATAATGAGGAATACAGTAGGCAAGAGTGAGCTATGATTGCACTACTGCACTCCAGCCTGGGTAACACAACCAGACCCTGTCTCTCAAAAGAAGAAAATGTAGGCAAGAGATGGATTCTATATCCACCAGGGAGCCATTGAAGAGTTTTCAGCAAAAGAGTAACCTGAGAAACATAGATGTTAGGAAGACCCCACTGTATGTTGGTGGGAGGACTTGGCTTAAGTCATTTCTATTATCCCCCACAGAATCCAGTACAGTGCTTTCAAAGAATGTGTGAAAGTCAGAAATGAATTGTATTCGATTGAAGTAAACGATAGAGACTTTGTGGAAAGCAACGAGTGGCTGTGTTGTGTGCAAAGCACAGGCCTGAGCTGCCTAATTTGAAAGGGGATGTATTGGGCTGTTGTAAAGTTGAGACCAGCTTGTAAGCCCCACTCTCCCTGTTTGAAGGCTGGTGGTTGCCATGGTTACGGTTGCATGGGTAGGCTTATTTATAGCTGTACACTATCTTTAGTGAATTCCACAACAGATGAGAGAAAAATTCAACTGTGAAGCCATTTAAGTGCATTGGAAGCACTTAGGAAGAGCAATAGAATTAAATATACACTAGAGAATCTCAAAAACACTAAGGAGAGCCCCATTTTAAACAACTGTTTTGTGAAGAGTGTTCTGCGTAAATTGAAAAAATAAAGGGGTAGAAACTGCCAAAATCTAGGCTTCTGCATGCCCTCTACTAGCTCTGCCTCTAACAATTTATAAGCATAAGCTCTAGGATAGGTTTTGGAAATAAATAAATTTTCTTTACCACTAATCACATGCAAGACACCTACAGATATCAGGTCTTTCAATTCTTACAAAAACAACATAAGATAGGTACTATTATTATCCCCATTCTGCACATTAGAAAAGGAAGTAAAAAAAGGTTAAGAGTTTCCCAAAGCCACATAGTTGGTAAAGACCAAGCTAGCCAAGAGCCCAGGCAGTCTGCTTCCAGTAATCTTAACCACTATGATATACTGCCTTGTTTTAATATGTATAACAAAAAGTTCTGGGGACCAGAAATCACTGGAGACCAAGAAGCTATATTTATTTCAGTTTAAAGTGAATACAAATATAAAGTGATTATTTGATAATGCAGAAGACTGAGAATTCATGCTGCAGAACAAATTGTACCCAACCCAAAAATTTCAAATAAAAACAAACCAGGGGCATCCTACTCCTATTTCAAAAACAGCGACAGTAGGATTACTTTATAAAGAAAATTTATCTGTTTTATGTCAAATTAAATATAATTTTTAAAATTCTATTTTATGTGTGGGTGCACATGTGTATGTTCATGCGCACACACAAATTTTGGGAACACATCCATTATGAACCACAAAGTAAAACTATAAATTATTTTTAAAGGGATGGATATTGACAGCTATCGAGCATGTTCATTCATTTAATCTTGACAAGTAAATGAGGCAAGTATTATTGATCCCTAGTTAACAGAGGAAAAACTGAGGCTCATGCTGGATAAAATTCCCCTAAACACACATACCAAGTGGCCAGCAGAACTGGACCTGAAACGTAAGTCCCCCTAACGTCAAAGCCTGAAATTATTTTCTCTGTATCTTTCTGTGTCATCCTGACTTCAAGGGAACCAAAATTTGGCCAGTTTCTAACTGAGGTGCTCCTCAAAGCCAATAAAGCTGTCTTTGAAAAACCACAGCTGTTCAAAGGAGGATGACAGGTAAAAATTTGCCTGGACAAGTCCTAATTCAGTGCAAGAACCGCTCACTTTTTGGACAAATGTGTATTAAAATACCATGACTTGGGCTGGAATACATTATTGTAGTATTTCTATATCCTACACTGAGAGTAGTTTTGAATAAAAGTAATATGGTAAGTCTTTGGAATTTGTATTTGTTGTTAGTGATCTTATAATCTAAAAAATCATATGATGTTTGTTCATGCTTTTTATCAGATAAATGTTTACTAACTCCTTAAAATGTTCCTCTAAGTGTGGTAGGTTCTGGGGATTTAGTGTTGGATAAGACAAACATAATTTTGAATGCCAATGAAAGTGCAATCTTAGACTCAAAGAACATTCAGAATATTCATTTATTCAACAAATGTTATCTAGTAACTCCCATAAACCAGACAATATGGGAGATATTGAGGACATAATGGTGAATAATTCACATTACTAGAAGTAACTTTAGAGATCAAACATATGACAAATGACTGAACTGAAAATACCAGGAGACTCAGCACTCATCCAAGGTCCTACAGTGAAATTGGAGTTAAAACCAATGGTTAGTAACTGTCTTTTTGACCCCTGTACTTTTCCTGAGGGCTCAAAACAGTGGGAAGCCTCCTACCTTCTCTAGCACTTCATGGTATGACATAATTACAACCTGCTATCTTTTCTTCTAAACTGGGGGAAGTGCCAGAAAGAAGCAACATCACATCTGCCATAAAGGTGTTGGAGCCACAATTTCAATAATAAAGAATTATCTGGTCCAAAATGTCAGTAATGCCCAGGTTGAGAAACCCTACTCTAGCCTATCTTCTTATTAATAAAAAGGACTATAGAATATGTATGACAAAATAAAAATCATCCTTTCTGTCTAAAATAAAATACAAACTCAAGGAACTAGGAAGTAGTTTGATGTGACTCAGAAAACAAAAAAAAAGTAGAGAGTGGTTATCCTGTTATCTTTAAATACTGAAAATGGGGAGGGGGATATTTTGGGAGTTTATCACCAGTATCAGTTTGAATAAAAGGTTCACATCCAACTGGACCATGATTATAGGTTTAGACATGTCTTGACCTGCACATCTAACTCATTTCTGAGTCTGTATACTTACCAAGTAATTCTCAGACCTCTGTTGCTCGCATATGCAGATTATTTCAAGGAGAAAAAGGCCCACTTATTGAGTAGCAAAAATCATAGGGCAGATGGTCTTTTTGGCTTTCAGATGCAAAGTAGTCCTGTTTGGTCTTAAATCAAATGTAGGTAGACCCAAAACTCTGGTCAGTGAGGTCCCAGGTCTATAGAATATTATAGTTCAGAGACATAGAGTCTACACCAGCCCTTAACTGCTTCCTACTGCAGCCACTACATGCCAACTTCTCATCCCACTATTTTTGTTCCCTATGTAAGTATCTAAGTTAAAATATTGAAGTCCTGGGCTTTGGAGATTTAAAAGATTTTTAATAATGATGTAAACTGAATTAATACCCTAGCAGTACCTGAAATTAGCCATGAACACAATAAGTAATTATTTCTAGTAATGACAAACATTTTTAAGATACTACTTATGAAATTGAATCTCTGCCTTGAGGAGTCCTCTGACCAGAAATGATAAACACAGAGGAATTAAAGGCCAACAAATTGGCAAAACTCAAAACATTTCTCAAGAAATTTCAGGAAGGGAAGGGTTGTAATGCTAATATAAAACAAAACTGTTTGCAACCAGCCTGGTGAACATAGTGAGACCTCATCTCTTAAAAAATAATGTTTAAAAAAACCAGCCAGAAGTGGTGGCAGGAGCCTGTAGTCCCAGCTACTCAAGAGGCTGGGGCAAGAGGATCACATAATTCCAGCAGTTTGAGTGAGCTGTGATCACACCACTGCACCAGCCTGGACAACAGAGCAATACACTGTCTCTAAAATAAATAAACAAATAAACAATCTTTAAAAATTAAAATAAATAAAATAAAATTCAAGCCCTAAAGGAGAAAATATAGCATTTTATATTGATAAAAGCTAAAAGGCCATGTTGAACATTTATGTACTAAACAAAATAGCATGGAAAACAAAAACAGCTATTATTTGTTCAGTTCTTTGACTTTAACCTTCAAAACAACCTGATGAAGTAAGTATTCTGAAAGGATGAGATCAAGACTTAATATCTGAAATAAAAAAACACAAAGATGATTTTATTGCTTACCTAAATAAAGAAGAGCTATGCTGGTCAGGCACAACCTCTCCAAACTGCTGATATAAGGAGAAAACGATATATCTATAATTAAACTTTATGTGCCAAATAATGTTGCCCCAAAATATATTTAAAGGAAAATATCTTGGAAATATATTGAGAAATTGACAAAAAGACACCAGTGAAAGATATCTACGGAGCAAGCAAACAATACATGTCTCCTTATGGTGACATGTATTGACCTTCAAGGTAGAGACCTCCACATTGTCATTAAGCCGGAGGGATCATCAGCATTTAACAGGGAGGAGCTGGTCACTTCTGTAGGCCCAGAGGGTTCAATAGGATCTGAGTTTTCAAATTTATGGAGTAAAGTGATACAGATAGCCCATTCCAAATCTCAGAGTCCCACACCTTTCCAATCAGGTCCTCCTGAATTTGGCATAGAAGATTTGTTGGAGTAGAGAGTTCAAATTTCTCAAGAACTCTGCTACTCTCAAGCTTTGGACCTCAGATTTTTCTTCTCTTTCAGCTAAAAGAGGTACATCTCTATATACACTGCTAAGGAGGCACTCTGATTTACTTATTTTTTCTTCATCTGGTGATTAACCTTTAGCCTTTCATTGTCTTCTCCAATGCATCAGTATTATGAAGCATGATCGATTCCATAATTCTCATAATTTCTGTTTCCCACACAACTCTCAAGTGCCTGAGATATTGCAGCAACCAAGGCATTCCCTTCCAATATTATGCAATCCCAATGAAAATTTTAGCAATTGCAGAATTATAGCATGCCAGGGGCCATGTACTCTATCTACAGTTGGTGATGAGGTTTTCCTGCTCCAAAACTGCACTATAGATTCGGCTCCCTAAAACCATTTCTGGTACCAACTGTCATAGGTTTGGCTCCCTGGAAACATACTCTAGAGTAGAGATTTGCATGAATCACCCCTTGGGGGGTGATTTCATGAATGACAACTGTGAGAATTGGGCAGAGGGCAAAGTTGATCTATGATATGTGATGCAGTTACAACAGAGGCCTTGCTGATCCCACAGGGAACTCTGGAGAAAGAATGGCCCTTTAGGGTTGTCTGAAATTAAGGCAAGGGGCAATCCTTGTAACTCCACCTTGACCCTTTATTAGACATGCGCTACCCCTGTGGAGGGATAACCTTGGGAGAGAAGGCCCCATTTGACTGAGGCAGCTCCTGGAGAGGAACACCTGCCAGCCATTAGCACATAACATTCCTGGCAGCTGGGGGAATGTGTTCTGGAGTGATCTGGGTATTTGGAACTCTATGAACAGGAAATAAACCTTCTTTTTCATGTAATTTTGTTTTCTGTCTAATATTTTACCCTATTAACAGAAAATAGACCTTAGTGTCCATAGTAGTATGAGGGGTTTTGTTTTCATATTTTCTAGAATGTTCTGACTCTGCACTTTCAAGCCAGCTAAGTATTTATTTTAAATTTATATAGAATTGTTTAAGATAACCCTTTTAGCACTGCCACCCCAATCACCTACTTTGTAAAGAGCTGTTTTCCCAAAATATTTTTAAACCCATCATGCAGACATAATGGGATATCCAAATTAATTGAAGGTTTTCTGAAAAAATTAGTTAGTCTTGATTGACTTTTGGCAAGTAACTAGTTGTGGTTAAGAAATTAAAATCACAGGACGGACGCGGTGGCTCACACCTGTAATCCCAGCACTTTGGGATGCCAAGGCGGATGGATCACCTGAGGTCAGGAGTTCGAGGCCAGCCTGACCAACATGGTGAAACCCCCGTCTCTACTAAAAAAATACAAAAATCAGCCAGGCATGGTGGTGGGCGCCTGTAATCACAGCTACTCGGGAGACTGAGGCAGAAGAATTGTTGGAACCTGGGAGGCAGAGGTTGCAGTGAGCTGAGATCGTGCCATTGCACTCCAGCCTGGGCGACAGAGCAAGACTCTGTCTCAAAAACAAAAAAAAAAGAAATAAAAATTATAAATAATATATTTGAAATACTCACCACGGTCTTAGGGCCTCTACAAAAAAATTAATATAGCTTGGGATATGGCCAAGGGTTCTGATTTTATAAGACCTTAGTTCTTTATAATGGAAAGAGATGAGGATGGCGAGCCTGTATTATTCAAAAGAGCAAAAGATACTGATTTATTAATTTATTTATTTTTTAAATTTAGTAGACATTTTATGTTGCTTACCACGTTTTTTTTTTTTTTTTTTTTTCAGAAATGAGGTTTATATGTGAGTTCAGCAAAATCTCTTTGAAATTAAGATATCGGTCACTTTCTTTCAATCACCACTTACAGTGTTACTTATTTTTAAGGCAGTAGCTCAGATAAGCAAGACTAATTCCTAGAAGACTAAACATCAAATGATCTGATACCCGAAAAAAAAAGACAAGTTTGACAAAAGATCTGGTTCTCTCCTCAACTTTTTCTTAGTACAAAAATGAAGTAATATACTCACTACTTGTGGTCAACGGTATAACCATGCTGGATGACATTTTAAAAAATCAGAACTCCTTAGCTCCTGAGTTCCATTTGCCTTCGTTGTCCAATTAACAGGAATAAAGTCAAAATGAATCAAGAAATGCTAAGAAAACATCAGCTACATTATATCATCCTAAGTCTTATAGCCCGAGCACACCATATTGATGGATACAAAATTAGAGAACCAGCTAATGTCACTAATATTTGATGAGTCACAAAACTGAAAAGGATGCCAGGACATAGAACGTGGAAAAAATATAATCCCAATATTTAAGGAAGAGCACCACAATATGAAACCAATCATTGTGGTCACCTATAAAAATACATAGATCACTAGGGGCCAACACCAGTTCACTACGTCAACCGGTCAGTTTGTCCTGACCAGTTAGTAGATTGGGTAAATTAGGGGAATGTAAGGTATAGTCTGTGTAGAGCTTAGCCAGCATGTGATGTTTTATCTCTCATGATATCTGTGAGAACAGCATAGAGGAATATCAGTTGGTTCCCAGTATAACTAGATGTATTCGTTGTTGGTTGAATTATTGTACTGTCAAAGAAGACGTATGAACCCTCTTGAGAAGTGAGGGCGGAAAGGGTGGTAGCACATATAGATGCAATTCGGATTTTAGAAACAGCTGAGATGAAAATTCCAGTTCTGGCACTATCCTGGCTGACTCTCTGAGCAAGTCAATCCCTGCTCTGATGACCTGTAGCACCACTCCAATGGGATCTCTATCACATTTGTTCTCTTAAAACTAGTCTTTGACATTGGTTTTCAGTATAGCTTCCTAATTGAAATATCCTTTCAGATTCTGTCCATGCCTCTGCAGAGAATATAGACTTGTCTGATTATAAAGCTTAGTGAGGAAAACTTTCTTTCCTTCCATTGCCCTTTTATTTCTTAGCAGCTCTCTTCTTGAACTTTTACTGTCCCTAAATTCTATCCTTAGCTCTTCCTTTGACTAGCCTTGGAATAGCTTCAAGCTGATAATAGTTAATACTCAAAGACTGTTAATGAATTACAAAAGCTGGTATCTACCAAGAAGGACAGTTCTAGTGACAAGCCATGGGGTATCCAAAAGAGTAAAAAGAATAGAAGCACAGAGGTAGCTGTGTCATCAGACCTAAGGGCTGAAAGTAAAAAACAAGTGGAAAGTTAGTGGCCAGGTCAGCCCATAAAAAGAGCAATTAGAAAGAAGAGACAGGAACCAGCAAGACATACCAGAATATTCCTCATGTAAGAAGGAACTGTGGGGCCCTGAGCTTTGTTAGAGGTTTTCTGTACAAATGTGTGATGATAGCTCAGAGTCAAGTGGAAAAGATGTGGCTGTCAGCTTACAGGAGTCCCTGAATAACAGCCATGTAGTACCTCTGTGGAATGCTGCCTGAAGAAAACAATATGGTCCCACCTTCTAGAAGACACCCTGCCTTATAAGCTCACTTACCCCTTGGGATAACAAAATTTACACTAACAACTTTGTCTCACTACAGATCATAGGATAATTTTGAGTGAACAATATTTAAAACAACTGAAAGAAGTGTGATGAAAAGTCATTGTGGTATGTTCTTTTAATAGGAATAAGAGAGATAATAGTTACAAAGACTTTTTAAACAACATAGAATTCTATGGCTGTGTGCCCTGAAACTACCTGTTTTCTTTAATGACAAACTATGTATTTTAAAGAGTGAGCATTATTGCCTTTTAACTTAGTAGCCTAAATCATTATGTGATATGAATTTTCTTCTCCAGTGACCCATGGTTCTGGGTGCTATTGATTGCTAAAATAGCATCCAATATTGAAAACCTTTCAAGGTTTTATGATTGCTATTTGAAAGAAGTATGATACAGAATAAAGCTGTAGTGGCTCCTACAATCACATCAAATTTCACATCTCGAGTATAATTAGCATGACATTTTATGGATTTAGCTTGAAGAAGTCTACAAAATAATTCTTATTTTGCAGAATCAAAGAAAATTAGGCATTTAGATAACTAGCAGTTATCTTTGCTCAGATTTTATTATTAAAATGAATTCCTAATTCTATCCGCCAAGAACTCCATTCTCATTTGGAAAAAAAAGTCTTTCTTCTCATGAGCTCAATAACTGAAAGTCCATGGGAGTCACATAAAATGTCAAATTTATTATCAAGTACTCATTGGTTTAATTCTATTTTATGCTGGCAAACATCTGGAAGATTATGAAAAATAAATTATTTTAAGAGCATGAAAACAATAATAGGAAAAAATTAATTAGGATTTTGCTTACATATTCATTTGTAAGTCAACAAATATTTATTGAGATCTATTAGACCACCCAGTCCTTATCTTACCAAAGCCAATTATTTATTATAAGTCATTAGCATATAAAACTTAATGATAATTTACTTTGATGTTTGCTACATGTGAATTCATGAAGATATTTGAATTTCATATCTAGCACTTCTCAGCATCAATCCAAGATCAGTCACTTACTTTTTACATTGGACACTGTGGTTGAGCATAAAGTTTCTAGAGTAACATAAGGTTTATAACAAAGTTATAAATAGTACTTGAATTGGGTCTTGCCGATGTGACTGATGAACATTGTCTAGGGTTTGGTCTCAAACAACGCAACACACACACACGCATACATACATACACACACTCGAATAGTGACCATCTGTTTCTCTGGTTGCCATCAGAAACTCATTTTTCATTTCAGGAACCACTTCTCCCCTGTTCTTAAACTACCTGGTTTGAGTGAGGTGACCTCTACTTTTCCTTCCAGAGAAAGACACATGACAGGGCCTGGTCAATCATTGTCCATCCTTCTGGTCGCAAATGGCCAGGTGACCAAAGTCATACTAATCAGAGCCCTCCTTGGAAGTTTTTCTGTGACTATTGGGGAAAAAATTACTTCTCTTCTATGATTATAGAGGCTAAGGACCCACTAAGAGGATGCGGTTAAGAACAGCTTTGTGGCCCTTTGAAAAGAACCTTTCTGGCCGGGCGCGGTGGCTCATGCCTGTAATCCCAGCACTTTGGGAGGCCAAGGTGGGTGGTTCACGAGGTCAGGAGATAGAGATCATCCTGGCTAACATGGTGAAACCCCATCTCTACTAAAAATACAAAAAAAAAATATATTAGCCGGGCATGGTGGCGGGAGCCTGTAGTCCCAGCTACTCGGGAGGCTGAGGCAGGAGAATGGCGTGAACCCAGGAGGCGGAGGTTGCAGTGAGCCAAGATCGTGCCACTGCACTCCAGCCTGGGCGACAGAGCGAGATTCCGTCTCAAAAAAAAGAAAAGAAGCTTTATGAGAATGAGTCCAACAGAAGAGTGCAGCTCTGAGAGATGGAGAAAACAAAACAAACAAACAAACGAATTCTTAATGACATCAATCTAACCTCACAATCCAACCATTTCTAAAAACAGCTTGACCCCTTGAACAATCCCAGTTATATGAGCCAATTGATTCCAATTTGTGTTTCTTTGTTTAAGCTGATTTGAACTGAATTTCTGACATTTGCAACTGAATAAATCCAGACAATATACATACATACCCACAGACTCATTATCTTCTGTTTGTGATTTTTTCCTTATACCAATATACATCACACACACACACATGCACACACACAGTGTGCTACAGAAGCTTAGCATTTGTCCTATAGATGATGACAAAAAATTTTACAGTATGGTTTTCACCTTCATGGCCAACAGGATTTTGCTGAAACTCAGCAACTTTTTATCTGATTGATGTGCAACAACATGTTCTGACTGCTTGCAGAAACTCTTTTAGCCATTGACCCAAACGTGACAATACTTCAAATTGTGCATCAGCCCTCCATCTGGGTAGCATTATTCCTGCCTAAGCTCTGAGAATCAGAAAATTCACTCACGTTTCTCACAAAGTTGGAGTCCCGTAAATTATCCAGTCTCCAAAATGTTGGGCCTAAAATGATGTAAACACCTGGAGGTTCTTACCCATGATTATATAGGCATCTGTTTTCAGTTGGAGCTTTATTCCTTATTGATGCCAAATTGAGACTGGCTTAGTTGTGCATTTTCTATATCTTTGGCTGACAGCATATTGTCAGAGTTTGCTCGATTGTAGCAGGAACTCATAATTGTTTTCAGCTGCAAATAAATGCAAGGCTGACCCTATAGAGATACGTGTCTTTTGTTCCTTTGATCAGTAGCTTCAGTTTGTCCCATCAAGATGGCATCTGTAAACAGCATCTCAAGGTTAACTGCATTCAGTGTAATACATTCTGTTGTATTATTTGACATGTATACTAGTTGTTAAATTTTCTTTTCTTCAAGATAGTAGAATCAGGACCACCTTACCAAGTAGACACATGTTAACCTTTAGAAAAGTCCTTTCACCTTCCTGAATTTCAGACTTCTCAACTCCAAAATGGAAGAATTACTGACAACTTTCTGAAACTGCTTTTAAACTCAAATGAGAAAATTTACATGAAAGCACCTTATAAAATATAAAGTTTTGAATTTCATATCTATGAAATTCATATGAAAATATATGATGGTATTGTTGCCATTTCTGCTGTGGTTGACTTCATTATTGGCACTGGGGTATAAAAAAATAAGTGTATTTGTATGTATTAAGCATCTAGCATGTACCAGGTTCTGGTCAGACAAAAATCCTATTCTCCAAATGCTTATAATCATTAAAAAGACATTAACAAGAATAACTTCAAAACATAATATAGCCTTTTTTACTATTTTAACTAGCAAATCCCTTTCACAATAATATAGATAAATGTGGTCTGATAGAATTTTCTATGATAACACAAATGTTCTACATCTGTACTGTACAATATGATAGCCACGAGTCATGAATACTACTGAGCAAGAGAGATGTGGCTAGTGTGAGTAGGAAACTAACTTTTTAAATTTCATTTTAATTAATTTAAACTTAAATAGCCACACACAGCTAGTGGCTACCATATTAAATAGCACATATCTAGAAGGTCTTCAATACCTTGATACTTGTTGGCAGATTTGACAGTTTTTGCATTGTATGCTATAATGATGTGATTTTAGGTTGAAAATCTATTACATTTTAAATTCCACTTAAATGCAATCTTCCACAAATCACATATTTATATTTAATATTTATATATAAAATATAATATATAATTCCAATTTTGAACCCAGTTTCTTATTTCAAATGATTTACATTATTTACTTGAATATTTGTCCTTTTTAAGAATTATTTATCACTCTGGGTATATGTGCCTGAGGTTACTAAAAGCCAAAGAGAAAAAGAAGAAAAAAAGAAAAAGAAAAAATTTACACCACCTATGTATAAAAACAGGTTTTGACTTTTTTCTGCTAACAGTGAGAAATGCTATTTAATTTAAATTAATTTTGTAAGTAAAAGTATAATTTTAAATGCGTATTATATTGATATGGGCAGCCAAGAGTATAATAAAATTTAAATTTAACTGCATTATGGCATAAAATAGATTAAAAACTATCTTGCTGAGGAAGTTTGAAATTCATATATTTTACACACAAAAATACATATTTTGTTTCATTTGTCTGAGGATGCACACTCCTCTAATAGTAACACACGTGGTAAACAACAGTCTTTATCCCCACACAAATGAAAAGTCAACTTTACATTCTCCACTTAATATTGATTTTTGAATTCTTCTCAACTGTCCTGCTGTGCTACATGAGAATTTTGATCAAATGGATGCAGCTTACAGATTTGAGAACTATTAACATTTTATATGCCTCATTAACTTGATGTATATCAGTTTCTATATTCCTTATGTCCCCATCTTAAGTAATTGTCGAGCATTAAGAATAATTTTATTCTTTTTATATTATACTTTAAGTTCTAGGGTACATGTGCACAACGTGCAGGTTTGTTACATATGTATGCATGTGCCATGTTGGTGTGCTGCACCCATTAACTTGTCATTTACATTAGGTATATCTCCTAATGCTATCCCTCCCCCCACCCTCCACCCCATGACAGGCCCTGGTGTGTGATGTTCCCCACGCTGTGCCAAAGTGTTCTCATTGTTCAATTCCCACCTATGAGTGAGAACATGCGGTGTTTGGTTTTCTGTCCTTGGGATAGTTTGCTCAGAATGATGGTTTCCAGCTTCGTCCATGTCCCTACAAAGGACATGAACTCATCCTCTTTTATGGCTGCATAGTATTCCATGGTGTATATGTGCCACATTTTCTTAATCCAGTCTATCATTGATGGGCATTTGGGCTGGTTCCAAGTCTTTGCTATTGTGGATAGTGCCACAATAAACATACGTGTGCATGTGTCTTCATAGCAGCATGATTTATAATCCTTTGGGTATATGCCCAGTAATGGGATGGCTGGGTCAAATGGTATTTCTAGTTCTAGATCCTTGAGGAATCGCCACACTGTCTTCCACAATTGTTGAACTAGTTTACAGTCCCACCAACAGTGTAAAAGTGTTCCTATTTCTACACATCTTCTCCAGCATCTGTTGTTTCCTGACTTTTTAATGATTGCCATTCTAACTGGTGTGAGATGGTATCTCATTGTGGTTTTGATTTGCATTTTTCTGATGGCCAGTAACGATGAGCATTTTTTTATGTGTCTGTTGGCTGCATAAATGTCTTCTTTTGAGAATTGTCTGTTCATATACTTCCCCCACTTTTTGATAGGGTTGTTTGATTTTTTTTCTTGTAAATTTGCTTAAGTTCTTTGTAGATTCTGGATATTAGCCCTTTGTCAGATTGGTAGATTGTAAAAATTTTCTCCCATTCTGTAGGTTGTCTATTCACTCTGATGGTAGTTTCTTTTGCTATGCAGAAGCTCTTTAGTTTAATTAGATCCCATTTGTCAATTTTGGCTTTTGTTGCCATTGCTTTTGGTGTTTTAGTCATGAAGTCCTTGCCCATGCCTATGTCCTGAATGGTATTGCCTAGGTTTTCTTCTAGGGTTTTTATGGTTTTAGGTCTAACATTTAAGTCTTTAATCCATCTTGAATTAATTTTTGTATAAGGTGTAATGAAGGGATCCAGTTTCAGCTTTCTACATATGGCTAGCCAGTTTTCCCAGCACCATTTATTAAATAGGGAATCCTTTCCCCATTTCTTGTTTCTGTCAGATTTGTCAAAGATCAGATGGTTGTAGATGTGTGGTATTATTTCTGAGGGCTCTGTTCTGTTCCATTGGTCTATATCTCTGTTTTGGTACCAGTACCATGCTGTTTTGGTTACTGTAGCCTTGTAGTATAGTTTGAAGTCAGGTAGTGTGATGCCTCCAGCTTTGTTCTTTGGGCTTAGGATTGTCTTGGCAATGCGGGCTCTTTTTTGGTTCCATATGAACTTTAAAGTAGTTTTTTCCAGTTCTGTGAAGGAAATCATTGGTAGCTTGATGAGTGTGGCATTGAATCTATAAATTACCTTGGACAGTATGGCCATTTTCACAATATTGATTCTTCCTATCCATGAGCATGGAATGTTCTTCTATTTGTTTCTGTCCTCTTTTACTTCATTGAGCAGTGGTTTGTAGTTCTCCTTGAGGAGGTTCTGTTTATATCCCTTGTAAGTTGGATTCCTAGGTATTTTATTCTCTTTGAAGCAATTGTGAATGGGAGTTCACTCATGATTTGGCTCTCTGTTTGTCTGTTATTGGTGTATAGGAATGCTTGTGATTTTTGCACATAGATTTTGTATCCTGAGACTTTGCTGAAGTTGCTTATCAGCTTAAGGACATTTTGGGCTGAGATGATGGGGTTTTCTAAATATATAATCATGTCATCTGCAAACAGGGACAACTTGACTTCCTCTTTTCCTAATTGAATACCCTTTATTTTCTTCTCCTGCCTGATTGCCCTGGCCAGAACTTCCAACACTATGTTGAATAGGAGTGGTGAGAGATGGCATCCCTGTCTTGTGCCAGTTTTCAAAGGGAATGCTTTCAGTTTTTGCCCATTCAGTATGATATTGGCTGTGGGTTTGTCATAAATAGCTCTTATTATTTTGAGACACGTCCCATCAATACCTAGTTTATTGAGAGTTTTTAGCATGAAGGGCTGTTGAATTTTGTTGAAAGCCTTTTCTGCATCTATTGAGATAATCATGTGGTTTTTGTCTTTGGTTCTGTTCATATGAGGGATTACTTTTATTGATTTGCGTATGTTGAACCAGCCTTGCATCCCAGGGATGAAGCCAACTTGATCGTGGGTGATAAGCTTTTTGATGTGCTGCTGGATTTGGTTTGCCATTATTTTATTGAGGATTTTTGCATCGATGTTCATCAGGGATATTGGTCTAAAATTCTCTTTTTTTGCTGTGTCTCTGCCAGGCTTTGGTATCAGGATGATGCTGGCCTCATAAAATGAGTTAGGGAGGATTCCCTCTTTTTCTATTGATTGGAATAGTTTCAGAAGGAATGGTACCATCTCCACTTTGTACTTCTGGTAGAATTCGGCTGTGAATCCGTCTGGTCCTGGACTTTTTTTGGTTGGTAGGCTCTTAATTATTGCCTCAATTTCAGAGCTTTTTATTGGTCTATTTAGGGATTCAACTTCTTCCTGGTTTAGTCTTGGGAGGGTGTATGTGTCGAGGAATTTATCCATTTCTTCTAGATTTTCTAGTTTATTTGCATAGAGGTGTTTATAGTATTCTCTGATGGTAGTTTGTATTTCTGTGCATCTACTTGATTCTTTTCTCTTTTCTTCTTTATTTAGTCTTGCTAGTGGTTTATCAATTTTGTTGATAATTTCAAAAAACCAGCTCCTGGATTCACTGATTTTTTGAAGGGGTTTTTGTGTCTCTATCTCCTTCAGTTCTGCTCTGATCTTAGTTATTTCTTGCCTTCTGCTAGCTTTTGAATGTGTTTGCTCTTGCTTTTCTAGTTCTTTTCATTGTGATGTTAGGGTGTCAATTTTAGATCTTTCCTGCTTTTTCTTGTGGGCATTTAGTGTTATAAATTTCCCTCTACACTCTGCTTTAAATGTGTCCCAGAGATTCTGGTATGTTGTGTCTTTGTTCTCATTGGCTTCAAAGAACATCTTCATTTCTGCCTTCATTTCATTATGTACCCAGTAATCATTCAGGAGCAGGTTGTTCAGTTTCCACGTAGTTGAGTGGTTTCGAGTGAGTTTCTTAATCTTGAATTCTAGCTTGATTGCACTGTGGTCTGAGAGACAGCTTGTTATAATTTCACTAAGAATAAAAACACTTTATAGTATGTGTTGGCCAAGTTTACCACGGTTGGTGGTTATTGTTTAGCTCAGTTTTTGGCCAAGTGACTGAGTCATAAGCACATTCATCTCCACAATAGGCAATGACCACATATTCAAGAACTATAACACTGTCCTCTTTTAAAGGGATATTTTTGACAAAAATTACTTTATCTGTTGCTCCTTAATACAAATGTTATTAATACAAATGTTATTAATATGTTATTATTATTGCTTTTGATAACAAAGTTAACAGGGCAGTAAACTTCTCATCTTATTCGGATACGTTTTTTTTCTTTTTTTTATTAGTGGTCATATTCTATTCTAGCTCCTAACATCACTCAATTTCTTCAGTAGTCAAGCAGAAATTCATTTCAATATTTTTCCCAATAATTTTTGGAATTTATTAATCAAATCTTCTTATTCCTGTGTTCTAATCCACCAAAATCTTCTTTTATCTTTATTAATTTCTTTCTCCTGGTTTCCTTTGACTCATTTATTGTTTTCTTTAGGACTGCTTGAATTGAAAGGGTGGGTATATTTATTTGTATTTTTTCTAATCAATGATTTTAAAAAGATAATATATAATTCCAGTTTTGAACCCAGTTTCTTATTTCAAATGATTAAAATTATTTACTTGAATATTTGTCCTTTTTATAAGAATTATTTATCACTCTGGGTATGATATTGTTACTAAATTTACAACTGATATTTAGGCTTAATTTTTAATTTAAGTTTATTTTAGTATTTCCCATCATTCCTTTTTTAAAAAAAATTACATCCAGTAAAATTCACCTTTTTAGGTGTACAGTTTTATACACTTTGACAAATGTAGTTTTGTAACTATCACAATCAAAATAAATTTTATCTTCATCAAAAACTTTCTTGTGTACCTCTCCTACTCCCAGCACCTGACAACCATTGATCTAATTTCTGTTCCTATAGTTTTACTTTTCTACATGTATTTTCTACATGTGTATACATATTGTTGCATGTATTAGTAGTTTGTTCCTTTTTATTGCTGAATAGTATTCCATTGCATGGGTGTGCCAAAATTTCATTTATCCATTCATCAGTTGATGGACATTTGGGTTGCTATATTTGCATAGAGACCTTTGTGTAGGCACATGTTTTCACTTCTCATGGGCAAACACCTAGGGGTGGGATTGCTGGCCCTGTGCTAAGTATATGTTTATAAGAAACTGCCAAACTGTTTTCCAAAATTGTCATACTATTCTGCATTCCCACCAGCAATATATGACAGTTCCAGGTAGTCCATATCCTCATATCCTTGTCAACACTTAGAACTGTCAGATTAGCGTGAAGGTGCACAAACAAATGAAGGGGTGGAGTTTATTTGTTTTGTTGTTGTCATTCTAATAAATGTGTGGTGGTATTTCCTGGCATTACTTTGCAATTCCCTTGTAAGTAATTGTGTTAAGTGTCTTTTCATGTGCTTACTTGCAACCAGCCATCCGGTATCTCTCCTTCAATAAAGTGTCCACTCAAAGCCTTGGTCCATTTTTAAAAATCAGATTTATGATTTTACTACTGCATTTTGATACATCTTTATATATTCTGGTTACAAATCCTCACGTGTTTTGCAAAGATTTTCTTTCAACTATGGCTCCCTTTTTTCATTTGTAATAGCATTTTTCACTTTATTCATTTTTAACAGTATTTTCCAAAGAGCAGAAGTTTTTAATTTTGATGAAGTCCAATTTAGACGTTTTTTTTCTTTTATGGGCTGGGTTTTGTGCATCCTCTCTGTGAAATCTTTGCCTAACTCAAAGTCTCAAACATTTGTCTCCAATGTTTTCCTCTACAAGTTTAAGTTTCAGGTTTTATATCTAAGCCTCTGATCCATTTTTGCATATAGTGTGAGATATGGGTCACTTTTTTTCATATGGATGTACACTTGTCCCAGCACTATCTTTAAAAAGACTATCCTTCCTCTTATGAATTACCTCAGCACCTTTGTTGAAAATCAGTTGACCATATTTGTGTTCTTCTTTCTAGACACTATTCCGTTCTATTCATCTATACTACTATCCTTGAACCAATACCACCCTGTTCAGATTATTATAGTTTTAAAGTAAATTCTGAACAGTCTTCCAACTTTGTTCTTTATTTACAAAATTGGTTTGACTATTCTAAGTCCCTTGTACTTCTATAACATTTTAGAATCAGCTTGTTAATTTCAACAAAGCCTTTGGGGATATTGATGGCTATTTCATTAGATCTATAGATGACTTTGAAAAGAACTGACATTTTTTTCAATGCTGGGTCATTCAATCCTTGAACATAAGATCTCCTTTCATTTGTTTAGGTCCATTTTAATTTCGCTCATCACTGTTTCCTGTTTTTGATTTTCAACATTCAAATATTGATATTTTGTTAAATTTGATCTTAAGTTTTTTATATTTTATGATTCTATTGCAAGTAGTACTGTTTTTACTTCAATTTCCAATTTTCATTGTTCGTATGTAAAAGAACAGCAGATTTTCTAGTATATTGAGCTTGTAATCTGCAACCTTGCCAAACTTGTGTAGTTCATAGTTCTAATAGCCTTTTTTTTAGATTTTGGGGAGAATGCCTACATTGACAATCAGGTTGTCTAATGAAGATAATTTTATTTTCTCTTTTCTAATCTGATTGTCTTTTATATTTATCTTGTCTTCTTGAGCTAACTGAAACCCAGAGTACAAGGCTGAATAGAGGTATAAGAATAAACAACCTTTTTTGTTTTCATTCTTAAAGAAACTGCATTCCATCTTTCATCATTAAGTTTGACACCTGCGTTAGATCATCATTGATGTCCTTTATCAGGATGAAGAATTTCCCTTCAAGTTATAGTTTGGTAAGAGTTTTTATCAAGAACTGATGTTGAAATGTGTCAAATAGTTTTTCTGCATCTGGTCATATAATTTTTCTCTTTTAATCTGTTGATATAATGTTATGCTGATTTTTAATGTTAAACCAACTTTGCATTCCTAGTACAAATACCACTTGGTTATCTCTACCCCTTTTAAGCCACAATTTCACATTTTGTTCTCTATTTTTGTTTTATTTCTCACCTTAGTATTTCAGCAACTATCTTTGATGTCTACTCTATTTTAAGCATTGGTCCAGGTACTCAGAAGGGAGTGTGAATAAGACATTAGAAATCCCCCACCCTTCTGGAGCTTAGATTTCAGAGGTGAGGAGAGACCCACAATAAAAAGCAAACAAATAATTTTAAATGGTGTAGTAGAGTATCAAGTAATATTTTTTCAGGTGCAAGTCACAAAAAAAATCCCAAAACTTGTAAGCTTAAACAAGAACGTATTTCACTATTTTATACAGCTTAAGTTCAGAAAGGTTTCAAGCATGCTTTAATCATTGGCTCAATAATGTCCTAAAAAACCTGAATACTTTTCCTCACTCCACTGTTTTCTCAATGTAACTTTTGCCTAAGACTGTTCTTCCCTCCTGGTCCTTATTAGGCTGCCAGTGAGCTTGTTCTTGTGGATTTTCTTACTCAGTTTGGAAAGACTAGGACGTTAAAATTACCTCCTAAATTTCCTTACGGCTATATTTCCGTATGTAAATTAAGCTCTGACAATTAGAATTACCTACTTGAGATTTAGAAAGCAGGAGTGAGACAGAATCTATTTTCCCAGACTTTATTTGGCTGTTTCTGCCAGCAACACTGTCATGGGAACATGAATTCTCTCTGCAGCAGTGTCCATTCTCCGGTTGCCTGGCTGGTGAGTAGTTGTGGGGGTGACTGAAGTGGCAGCATTGACTTCATGCTTTGGTTTGCTACTTTACTTCAGGAATCAAAGCAATGATGTGTGTATTCTAGTTCCCTATGTTTCCAAAGGGAATTGGAATGGTCAATGGCAGCAGGAGGTTTTTCATTTGTAATAGGTTCAGTAGTGGTCTCAGAGGTAGTTGCTCTCCTGTTGGGTCAGTCCTATATTTTTCTGAGAGTCATTCCTAAATATTCAGCCTAGAATCTACTCCCTCAGTGCTTCCAAAAAATTTTAAAGCAATAATCTCCTATGTTAAATCCATTTCTGCTCCCCAGATTCTTAATATGATTATCTTCACTGAAACCTGGCTCATGAAAGATCTAGGGATTGCCAGAGTTTCTTATAGTGTCAAAGAAGTAAACTATCAGCCATATTAGAGATGCATCTGCCCTCCTCATAGGAATTACAGGTGAGAAATTCCTTGCAACTTGGGGAGGTGACTCATCAAAGAGCCCATGAAGGTGGCCTGGAAAGCAAGAGTCAACGTTACATACACACCATGTCTACAGAGTTCTGATGCTATTTCACCAAGACGGTGCCCATGACATACGAAGTTTATTGCTCCCCTTTACTCATCTGCCCCCTTTGTGGTCCAATCTGCAGTTCTCAGAAACAAGGGTTTGCAAAATAGAAAAAAGTAAATGTGCTAGATGGAGAAACACAGCACTTTTCTCTCCTCCTCAACTGCAGTTTGGCTGCATTAAAAAGGCCCAGCTGGGGAGGAAAAGAAGTCTCAATTTTAAACTGAAACTGAAGCTTTAAGTGTTACAGTGGACTTGATATTTTAATTATTAAACTGTTTCACGGTTTGAATTGACCTCAGAATTATGTATTACCTAAGAGTAACTACAAGAGTAATGGATCCTGCTAGAATGTTCATCCCGCGAGAGGATGAGAATTAGCCTCATACACTAACCTTTAAGATACAGTGGGTCTCTAAATTAAGTTGCTTTATTATTATACACTGTGAACTGTGCTTATTCAGTATAATGTAACACTGTCCTTATATTTCATTGATATTTATCCTATTAGCAAGAGCTAAATAGGATGCCCTTACTCAATCCGATATTTTTTCCCATAATCTCTATTCCTTCCTTCCCTTACTCTTCAAAATATATATTTCTTTGGAAATTCCCCAGCCTTATAGATAACCTCTTATTTCAAAAACTGCTTTTAATAGCCCAAACATCGGTTTTCTTCCCTAAATAACTTTTCCCCAGTTTGACACAGCGGCAATGAGTGCCACTTACCTGGTTCTTAAATGAACAATGCCAGACAATCATGAGACTTAAAAGAATGATGTTGCTGGATACTGTGATAAAATGATAATATATTCTGTTACCAAGATCAGTTGTCACCTTCAGCTGTGAAATTAGGATAAGTAATCCCTTCTCATAAGATTGATGTATGGATTAAGTTGAATACTATTTAAGAAAGTACCTCACAGAGATTAAGTCACATAAAAGTCACTTAATGAAAGTCAGTTGACTCTAAATCTGATTTGAACTTCACTCTGTGCAGCTCTATCTCAAAATCCCAGACTACAAATGTCAAAGATCCTTATGTTCCAAGAGCATGAAGCACAATTTTACCACTGAGTTTCAAAATTCATTTGGATTAACTGGACTTTATACCACAAAGAGAAATAATGGAGGCCACAAAGAAGAAATGTTTTTGAAGAAAGATAAACCAGATTGCTAATCAGTAATTATCATTTCCCATGAAATGAATTTATTTTTGACTGAAAATGAATGAGTTGTACTTAACAGCAGGACCTATTACTGTATTAATATACCTTCAGTAAAATGCCATTAACTTTCTCTACCTCACTTCCTCCATCTTTAAAATGGTGGTTATGGTTATAGTTGATGAATTTTATGACTGTCAAATTAAAAGTTATGTTCCCAGTGGGAGATACAGATTTGTGGATTTTAATAACATCTTTCCCTTCCACGCAGTATTGCCAGTGATAGCAAGTCCCTAGGACCTGAGTACTGGTATGAGTGTGGACCCATATAATATAGGTTATATTTATAAGTTTGTAAAATAGCATTAATAATGTCCCTCATCTGCCATATTGCTCCAAAATTTTTTCCTTCCACAGTTGGCGAGAGGAAAATCATTCTTTAACTTTGTGAACAACCTTCAGAACTAATTTCAATGGTAGCAGACAGGATTGCCAAGATAATAATGGACATCTAGAGAGTATTTGAGAAAATCAGATGTGAGGTTTTGCAATTCTGGACATAAAGAGAAGCCCCAGGTATGACCAGATTATCTGCACAAAGAGAATTCATCCATGTGAAGCAGAATGTGCTGAAAGCCCCCAGGAAGGTTGTTTTTCTTAATGCCTAATTTCAAAGCAAGAAATACCACTAAATGAAACTAACCTTCAGTCTAGTAAGCACATGTGGGCTTAAAGTTAGTTTGTCTTTGGAATTCAGTTTCTATTTAGGATTTCCCTCATGTGCTGTTCAATATAATTAATCCTATACCCAGAAAAGCAGAAAGTCATTTCAATTCAGGGTACACTGTCACGTACGAAGCTTTCTACTAGAGGTTGGACACTCAGAACCGAGAATATACGGTTGCTATTCTCAGATAGCTGGTGTAGTGATGTTCACTGAAGCACCTCTCTCAGAAATGCTGACAAAATGGAGAATGTGACTGTATTAGTCAGGGTTCTCCAGAGGGACAGAACAAATAGGATATATGTACATATGAAGAGGAGTTTATCAAGGAGAATTGACTCACACTATCACAAGCTGAAGTCCCACAATAAGGCATCTGCGAGCTGAGGAGCAAGGAAGCCAGTAGTGGCTCAGTCCAAGTCCCAAAGCCCCAAAAGTAAGGAAGCCGGGAGTGCAGGCTTCAGTCTGCGGCCAAAGGCTGGAGAGCCCCTGGCACACCACTGTTGTAAGTCCAAGAGTCCAAAGGCTGAAGAACCCGCAGTCTGGTGTTCAAGGTCAGGAAGCATCCAGCATGGAAGAAAGATGAAAGCTGGAAGACTCAGCAAGCCAGCTTATTCCACCGTCTTCCACCTGCTTTTTCTAGCCTCACTGGCAGCCAGTTGGATGGTGCCTATCCACATTAAGGGTGAGTTTTTCTTTTCCAATACACTGACTCAAATGTTCATCTCCTCTGGCAACACCCCCATGGACACACCCAGAAACAATACTTTGCATCCTTCAATCCAACCAAGCTGACACTTAATATTAACCATTACAGTGAATAAAAGTTATGTTTTTATGAATCCTCAGTGGACCTCCTGGGAAGGCAGTGGAGGGGGCATGTAAGTGATGGTTTGTATCCGGGATACTGGAATGTAAGCTCCCAGTGAGAAACTGGAGTGGACATTGCTGGTGCTCTACACAGAGCCTTACAATCCTACAGTGAACTCCACAAAGGTGCCAAGAACATAACACTGGGGAAAAGACAGTCCCATTTACTTTTTCTATGCGCCCCTTCCCCAGCTTTGGTGTGCTTTTACTTTTGACAGCGCATACCTACAATGCTAATCTGGAAGGCTGCACTGTGGCTGCTGGAGCCAGGTTGCCCAAGCACACAGAAAATCAGAGGTGTCTGGGAATTCACATCTCCAAAGGGTATGGCTAAAGCATACAAGAGTATGAAAGCTCAGCTGCCTTGCTTTGGGATGGGACAGCATTGACATAAAATCGGCATTCCAAAATTCTTCTATAGGATCAAGCTAACACTCCCTTCTATAGGATTTTCTGAAACTGCACACTTGTATGGCTCTGTCCTCTTTCCTGTTCCACTTTCCACACTATCTTGCTAATTTCTCCCGGGAACATGTCCTTAATCAGTTGCTCACATGCAAATCCTCTTCTCAGGGTCTTATTGACAGGAATCAAAACAGGCTATGCCCAAGCTCTTAGGAAATTCCATGGATAAGAAAGACGCAAACCAAAAATAAAAAAAGAACATGAGGGTATACCCATGTTCACAGTAGTGTTATTCACAATAGCTAAAACATGGAAGCAACTCCTGTTCATCAACAGATGAATGGATGAGCAAAATGTGGTATATACATACAATGCAATATTTTTCAGCTTAAAAAGGAAAGAAATTCTGACTTATGCTACAACAAGAATGACACTTGAGGACATTATGCTAAGTGAGATAAGCCAATCGCAATAGGACAAATACTATATGATTCCACTTATATGAGGGACCTAGAGTAGGCAAGTTTATAGAGGCAAAGTAGAAGAGTGGTTGCCCACAGTCAGGAGTTGGGGGAGATAATGGAGACTTGCCATGTAATGGGTATAGAGCTTCATATTTGCAAGATGAAAGGAGTTCTGTGATGAATGGATGTAATGGTTACACAACAATGTGAATATATTTAATACCATTGAACTGTCCACTCAAAAATACTTAAGATGCTAAATTCTATGTGTATTTTACCACATTTTTTAAACTGAGAAAAAAAAGAGAATGTAAGGACCTGCGGGGTCATTCATGGGACATGGGACACTAGCCTTGAAGACATTATTGGAAGTAAAATACTGCAAGGTACCTATAGAATATCTCTCACTGCTGGCTAAGGAAAAAAGTCTCACATTCCAGGTATCCAGAGCAGGCTACAAAAGGCTGCAAGAGTTCAGTAGCCCTCCTTAGAAGCAAGGCACCACAATCCACCCACAGCCCCCAGCAAAATCCTCCTAAAGGTGACCAGGTTAATATGAGAGTAAGAGAAAGGGGATATCAAGATTGCCAGGTGGTGGAGTAGAGATCAGACACCAGCAGGTATAAGACAAAACTTTAAAAACAGTGCTATGTAGAAATAGAAAGAACTATTCCAAAATTCATATGGAACCAAGGAAGAGTCCAAATAGCCAAAGCAATCCTAAGCAAAAAGAACGAAGCCAAAGGCATCACACTATCCAACCTCAAACTATATTACAAGGCTACAGTAACCAAAACAGCATGACACTTATACAAAAACAGACACTAGATGAATGGAACAGGTTATAGCACCAAAAAATAAAGCTGCACACCTGCAACCATCTGTCTTCAACAAAGTTGACAAAAACAAACAATGGGGGCCAGGCACAGTAGCTCACACCTATAATCCCAGCACTCTGGGAGGCCAAGGCTGGCAGATGACTTGACACTAGGAGTTCGAGACCAGCCTAGCCAACATGGCGAAACCCCATATCTACTAAAAATACAAAAATTAGCCAGCATGGTGGTGCATGCCTGTAACCCCATCTACTCTGAAAGCTGGGACATGAGAATCACTTGAACATGGGAGGTGGAGGTTACAGTGAACCGATATCACACCACTGCACTCCAGCCTGGGCAACAGAGCAAAACTCTGTTTCAAGAAAACAAAAAAACAAAAAAAAAAAACCAGCAATTGGGAAAGGACTACTTATTCAATAAATGATGCTGGGATAACTGGCTAGCCATATGCAGAAGATTGAAACCAGACCCCTTCCTTTCACCATATACAAAAATCAACTCAAGATGGATTAAAGACTTAAATATAAAACCTAAAACTATAAAAACTCTAGAAGAAAACCTAGGAAATATTCTGGACATCAGCCTTGGCAAAGAACAAACAACTCTATTTTTAAAAATGAGCAAAGGACATGAACAGACACTTCTCAAAAAAAGACATACACGTGCCCAACAAGCACATGAAAAAATGCTCAACATCACTAATCATTAGAGAAATGCAAATCAAAACACAATGAGATACTATCTCATGCCAGTCAGAATGGCCATTATTAAAAAGTCAAAAAATAACAAATGTTGGCAAGGTTGCAGAGAAAAGGGAACACATATACTGTTGGTGGGAATGTATATTAGTTCAGCCACTGTGGAAAGCAATTTGGAGATTTCTCACAGAACTTAAAATAGAAATACCATTCAACCCAACAATTCCATTACTGGATATATACACAAAGGAAAATAAACCATACTACCAAAAAGACACACAAACTACTATATTCATCGCAGCACTATTCACAATAGCAAAGATATCAGATCAATCTAGAAGCCCATCAATGGTGGATTGGATAAAGAAAATGTGGTACACATACACCATGGAATACGATGCAGCCATATAAAAGAATAAAGTCATATCCCTTGCAGCAAAATGGGTGAAGCAAGAGGCCATTATCCTAAGCGAATTTATACAGAAACAGAAAACTAAATACCACATGTTGTCACTTATAAGTGGACACTAAACGTGGGGTACTCATAGACACAAAGACAGGAACAATGGACACTAGGGACTATTAAAGGGGGGAAGAGAAAGAAAGGGGTAAAAGCTGAAAAACTACCAACTACCTATGGGATACTATGCTTACTACCTAGGTGACAATGTCATTTGTACTCCAAACTTCAGCATCACACAATATATCTATGTAACAAACCTACACATGTACCCCATGAACCCAAAATAAAAGTTGAAATTAAAGTAATAAAATAATAAAAATAGTGCTATGGACTGAATGTATGTCCCACCAAAATTCATATGTTGAAATCTAACCCCCAATATGATGGTGTTTGGAGGCAAGCCTTTGGAAGGTGATTAGGTAATGAGGATAGAGGCCTTGTGAATAGTATTAGTGCCCTTATTTCCCAGTGGCCTGAGAGAGTTTTCTTGCCTCTTCCACTACACGAGCACTCTGCTAGAGGACAGCCATCTCTGCACCAGGAAACAGGCCCTCACCAGACACTGACTGCCAATCTTGGCAGGCCTTGATCTTAGACTTCTTAGCCTCTGTGACAGATAAATTGCTGTTGTTTATAAGCCTCCTAATCTATGGTAGTTTGTTATAGTAACCCAAATGGACAGAGACAAATAGCAATAGGAATTTACGAGTCACACAGAGATAAACTCACAGAGATTTACCAGGGAGTGGACTCAGAGTCTGACAGTTTTTGCATCTTCTAAAGGAGACAGCATGTGTACAAATCACCCCCCACCACAAAAGGCAGGACATGATGTACATCACAAGTCATATGCAAGTTGAGTATTATGAAAATGCAAGTAGAAAAAATTGCTTCCAGATGAGAAAATTTGCAGCATCTGGGACCATGTGAACAAAAGCATGGAAATGGTGTGTTGCAGGACATAATCACCTATAGATTTAAGAGGAGCTGTGATACAAGTTATAAATGCCATGGTATATTGATTAAAGCATTTATTGACTCCAGCTACGTCTAGAACTTACTCAAGTGTTACTCACACTTAAATGTCCCACACAGACACTCAGGCATTGCAAATATTCCCAAGATATACAAAGCCATTTGTTACACATGCTCATAGGTCCACTCCAATTCAAAAGTTTCTATTCCATGCCTGCTGGGCACGGCCAGAATAAGAATATCACCAAAGCTGGAAGATTCATACTCTGATAGAATTTTCCTTTCTCATAAAATTCTGTCTCACACCTTGTAGTCTCAAATAGAAGGTCCAGTCCAATCTTGGTCTTCCAGTTTTACTGTCATAAAGTACATGCTAATCTGCTTTGTAGACATTCAGAAACTCACAAGACTAAGAAAACCTTCCCCAAAAAGATTAGGTTTTGCTGGTCTTCTCAGCACTATTAATGACAACTATAGTCAGTTTTTGATCACATATGAACTCAGAACATTAATAAATTTATGATTTCTATTGATCATAATTCACAACAAAGCCTATTTAATAATTTGAAAATAAAACCTATTGATGGAGAAATTACACACCCAGCCTTCCCAACCAAACCCAAACCTTCTCCAAGGTTTCTTGTCTCAGTGAGTAGCACCACAATCCACCCACAAGCCCCCAGCAAAATCCTCTATGTCATCATTGCTTCTTTCTATCTCTGTTCACCCACGTCCAATTAATCGCCATATCCTGGTGTCTCTGCCTTACTTAAATTTCTTACTTCTTGCTTCTTCTCTCCTTCTTTACTTATGTGACCTTAGTTCAGGCATGACCATGATTCAGTTAGACCACTCTAACAACTTTCTGTCTCCCCATTTCCATTCTGACCCACTTCAATTGGCTCTCCATATTACAAACAGAGTGATCTTTCAAAAGTACAAATGTTAAGGATAAATTGTAAATGCTTTACATGACAAGCATGCTTTATTTATTAGAGTCTCAAAAGGAAACATGATACACTCAAATTGAGAACTTGAGATCATAATGAAAAAAAAATTTGCAAAGGAGCAGCAGGATTTAGAGCCTAGTTAACAGTAGGGTGGCCAACTTTTTTGGCCAAAACCTAAAAGTTTTCTGAATTTAGGACTTCCAGTGTTAAAACCCAGAAATTCCCAGACAAACTCAAGATGAAACGTTCACAGTCAGTTACAACCAGAAACCATCACCATTCTATGCCTGAAGGCACGTGAGAAGGGAGTGGTTGGTGAGATCCAGAGAGAAAAGCTGTACAGCGCTGGCCACCTCCCAGGAGTTGTGGCATTTTGAAGACTGGTAGATACCTAACCTGTAGAGACCCAGAAGGAAGGAGACTAGAATAATAAAGCTCAAACTCATCATGCTCTTTGATCTCCTGCTGGTGTCTCTCAGTGGCCTAACCTGGAGGAAAGGGCGAGAGAGATTACTTGATGTCATCATATGGGTCATCTTGGGGGAAGCAGAATAGGGAAAACCAGAGGTGACAACATGAAAAAGATGCAATCTGACATTTTTGGCTTTGAAGATAGACAAAGGATACCACAATCCAAGGAATACAGCCGGCCTCTAAAAACTAGAAAAGGTCAGCAAGTAGATTCTCCCCTAGAGCCTCCAGAAAAAAATACAGGCCAGCTAACAACTTCATTTTAGCCCAGTGAGACCCACTTTAAACTTCTGACCTCCAGAAGTGTAAGAAAATAAATGTGTGTTGTTTTAAGCCACCAAGCTTGTGGTAATTTGTTACAGCAGTGATGGAAACTAATACAGAAGGAAATTCAGAGGGTATCTGGTCTAACATCTCAACCAAGGCATGAGTTGAACCAGAGCTTTGACCAGTGTGGGAAGTGACTTTACTCTGCTGACAGTGTGAAGTTTGTGAAGGTCTTTAACTTGCAAAGTGACATACTAAAATCTATGCTCCCACCTCCATTATAGGTGAGATGGGAAGGATGAGCAATTAAACGAAGGAACACCAGTTAGAAGGCCACTATGAAATTCGGGTTAAGGGGTATAGGCTTAAAATAAGGTGGAGACAGTAGGCATATATAGGAAGACAAGTGTGGCAGAGATGTCATTATGTGATGAATGCAACTCTGTGATGGTTAGGAGAACAGAAGCCAAAGTTTTTAAGGCTGACTGACTCCAATAATGATGTCATCATTAAGAGAGCCAACGTGGCCTTTCCTGTTGGCATTGTGCCTGCCACCTTTAACAGAGTCAAGAGTCTCTTAGAAAATATTTGAAACTCAGCTTCTAAATAAATTAAAATGTGAAAAATAAATTATTTGTTTAAATAAAGCCCAAATCTAAAGTAGTTAAAAATAGCTGGAATTCAATCCAGTAAATTGACGGTATGAGTAACTGCAGAAGTGCTTACTATGTAAATACTATATTTACCCTTCCATTTCCATTTTTCCTTAAGTTGCTCCATTTTAGGAAATTTTAAGTAAATGTTTTTGAGGTGTATAGCAAGTATGTCAATTTTTCACACACATTTCTTTTTTCATTTAATGAAAACAGCCTAGTGAAAGCACTAAACCACTTTGAATATGTCTTATAAATAATGAAGACAGAGTTTGAGCAGATGGTTTTTATTCTATAAACAAGATGGACATCAATAAGCCACCAATGAGGTTGATGTTTGTTTGCTGTTGTTGTTTTTAAGTGTTTTAGGTGCTATCCCTGAGGGAGAACCTAAGATAAGGATACATGGGAAGTGATTTATTAGGAAGTTTCTCAAAGAAAACTGGTGGAAAAATGCAGAATTGGGATAGGAAACCAAAAAAAAAGGCTGAGCAAGGATATGATATCAAGAAAAGTCCTACAGTGAGCTCAGTCTGCAAGGGAATTCTGGAGACTGACCATGTAGTTGTGGTAGCATAAAACAACAAAGCTGGAATATTTGTATTCCCACCTGGCTTAATTTTGGTTAAGGCTGCCCCTCATGAACCCTGAAAGTACATCCTTCTCTCCAGCTGGGCAGACAAATTAGACTCCAGCAGCCTTCGTGCAGCCCCACAGCAAATGAATACAGGGACTGGCTGCTGGGAATGAAAGTACACCTGGAGCACCTGGAGCCTGTGTACAAGGAAAAGGTAAACGAATCCAAAGGGACCTTGTTGAGGACTTACAGTGTCTGCGACAAAACATTACTGAAACTTTCAACATTTTATATGATCATTTGACTAAGAAATTGATTCAAATGGTTCAATGGGGTTTCTATATCCACAGGTCTAGCAAACTCACTCTTATAAAAAAAATCACCAATGATTTTCATTGTTACCAAATCTAATAAATATCTTTTGTTCACATCTTACTCTTATTCATAGCTGTGCCATTGCCTCCCTATTGAGACACAGTCCTCTTCTTTCTCAGCTTCTCTAACACTGCACTCTTGTAGGTCCCTCCCACTCAGTCTCCTTTGCTGGCTGTTCGTATTTTTCCATAAATCTTAAAACTCATTCTCGGGCCTTTCTTAAAAAAAAATTATTTAACTTTTTTATTTTTAAACAATCTCAAACCCTCAGAAAAGTTGCAAGTATAGTACAAAAATTTTTTATCTGAAATATTTGAATGTAAATAGCCAACAAAATGCCCCCTCACCATTAACTATGTTACTGTGTATTTTTTCCAATGAAAACATTCTCCTACATAGAAACAATACAATCATCAAAATTAGGAAATTATTACATAGATACAATAATGTCATCTAATTCCACATTTTCTTCCTTCGCCTCACCTATTCCCACAGCTTTAAAGACCCTAACACTATAATCTCCTCATTTTGAATCTCCATTCCAGATCTCTCCTCCAAGCTTAAGCCTCACTGCCAACTGCTTACTTGGTATCTTTGCTTGAATATTTTTAAAACCGTATCAATTTTAAAGTACCATAATTAGAAGCTCTGCTGGTCTCCGCATCCTATATTTTGCATCCAGATGGTGAGGACAGTGCCTGGGACTCAACCTGATTGTTTTCTAAATTCCTGTATCTAGTCCCACAGCATTCCATACGGGCAATACTTCCGAATATAGCATGGATATGTTCACTTCTTTCCACCTGCACTGCCAAAACTGTGGTCCAACCCTAGTCTTTCATCTGGATGACTACAGTCATCTCCCGACTAGTCTTCCTGCTGTTACTTCTGTCCCCTTAAAATTCAATCTCCAAGTAATAGCAAAAATGATCGTTTAAAATTGAATTCTGCCATCTCCCCATTAAAACCTTTATTGGCGTCCCATGGTATTGTAACTCCTGTCACTCTCTCCTGATTAAAACACTGTAGTGTCTTTCCATGGTATTTAAAATTAAATATGACAATGTCCTGTGGCACTTGGCCTCTGCGTGCCTTTCCAACCTCATCTCACATTTCCTCTGCTTGTTTTGCTTTGTCACACAGGATTCTGACATTTCCCAGACATCTCTCTCTGCACTGGTCCTGGGACACCTTAATACTTAATACTAGCTCTCCACATAGCTGGCTCCTTCTCATCCTCTTAGGTCGTGGTCTAAATATCACCTCCTTGAAGAAGCCCTCCCTTATCCCTCTCTCTGTTTATTGTTTCTTACCCTATCATTATTTATGGAAAATTTCTTCCTTAGCACTTATCAGAATCAGTACCTCTTTTGTTTGTTCATCCAACTGTTTAAGTGTTCCTTCCTAGAAGGTAAGCTCCTCAAGGATAGGCATCATATGTGTTGTTCACCATTGCATCCCAGTACCCAACAGTGTCTGATTCACATTCAGTGCTGATTTTATGAGTAAGTGAATGAATAAAACACAGGGCTACTACATCTTATTTCACTTTCACTCCTAACAACTTGACTATTTGAGGTCGTTTAAGGTATCATCACTTTATATACAAGACCTGACCAAAGACCAGGCATGGTGGCTCACACCTGTAATCCCAGCACTTTGGGAAGCCAAGGCAGGTGGATCACTTGAGATCAGGAGTTCAAAACCAGCCTGGCCAACATGGTGAAACCCCATCTCTACTAAAAATACAAAAATTAGCCAGGCATGGTGGCACATGCCTGTAATCCCAGCTACTCAGGAGGCTGAGGCAGGAGAATCGCTTGAACCTGGGAGGTGGAGGTTGCAGTGAGCCAGGATTGTACTGCTGCACTCCAGCCTGGGCAACAGAGTGAGATCCTGTCTAGAAAAAAAAAAAAAAAAGATCTGGCCAAATCTTAATTATGACCAACAAACAAATTTGCAATCCTGGGGGAAAAAAACTGATGCTTTTTTTTCCATGTTGAATTGGTCAGTTAAACAAGGTTTATATATGACAGATAACTTTTCAGAATGGGTACAAGACTCTAACAGACCTTTCCAGCATCATACTGTCTCTATTTTAGATAGTTATGCAGATAGTTTCACTGATATGTTCAAACTGTTTTGTGTCAGGTCTTTTCCTCAACTGTCCTTATTAATGTCTGGTAGATTCAAGGAGACTAACCCCTGGCAACTATTTATTGAAACTAAGAAGTAGTACTTGACTTTTTAAAATTATTTTTCTCCGCATTTGACAAGTTTTATTTTAGAATCTTAAAAGGGGATCCAATTTAGTTGATGGTTTTTGGCCCAATTTCTACATTATTCAGTTAAGCTAACTGGATGTGTTAGATGTGTGAATACTTTAAGACGATGCAAGTTGACACTCTCATTTCTAGGAAATTTGTTCTTTATAGTATGCATAGTTTATTATCTTTTGTCAAACTAATTGAGATTAACAAATTGACATTATAGATGCTATCATTTATTAAGATGTGGCTTCCATCAAATACCATTTATTTATTATTCTAACAATCAATGTAATTAATAGGTATTCATTTTAGAAAATTTGGAAAAGACAGAAAAAAGGAATTATCGACAAAATTCCTCCTATAAATAACCCTGTTATTGCATTTTGCTATATGTTATTTCAGTTTTTTATTTACACATATACATATTCATTCCTTCACTCACCTATTTGACAAATACTCATTTAGTATCACTTGTCAAAAACAAGTGTAGGTGCTGCTGAACAAGACATATACATTCATGAGGTTTGCATTCTAGGGAACAGATAAAACAAATAAATAAGATCAATCAGTTAGTGACAGAACACAAAACAAGTAATGTGACAGAGTGAAAGTCATAAATGGGAGGACAGTGAGGGCTGGCTACTTTAGAGAGGGTTAACAGAGAAAACCTTCGTAAGAAAAAAATGTTTGACCTGAGACCTAAAGCACGAGGAAGGGCCAGACATGGGAGGATGTGTAGGAAGAACATTCCAGGCAGAGGGAGCAGCACATGCAAGGAAGGGTCTGGTTGTTTCTCGTAATTGCCACTAGGTTATTGTGGTTGGAGCTAGAGAATAAAAAGGCCAGGACCTCTCATACGAATTAGGCATTTTAGCCAGCTTTGTGTATACTTTTTTGTTTATGGTATTTTTGACCTAGAGAATTTAAATTTTAGTGTTGTCAAATCAATCTGTCATTTTCCTTATTTCTCCCATTAGAAAGCCTTTTACCTAAACTTCATTCTGAAAAAAACATTCACCCATGTTTTCTTTGGGTACCTTTATTATGTCATTAATACACCCACAGTTTATTATAATATATAGCAGAAGATTTACATGGGAATTTTCCCTAAGTAAATAACTCATGTCTAAGCACAACTTTTTGAATGATCCTTTCTTCTCTGCTTATTTTGATGGTGCCATTAACATATACTTATTTCTTATATTGAAGGCCCGTGAAGAGAAAAGTGATAATAGCAGAGCGATCAAAACAGTTTTTTAGGATATTTATTCTGGCAAAAGTTTGAACCATTTAAACAGAGATTGTCAGGAGCTTGAGAAGTGGAAGATCAACTGAAAAGCTACAGTAGTCATTCAGACAAAAGGTGATAAGGGCTTCAATTAGGACAATAAAACTGAGAATGGAAGGGAAGTCACAGATTTAAAAAAAAAACTGAAAACACCAAATAAATAGAGCTCATCAAATGACTGGAAATCATGGCTGAGAAAAAAATAATTCTGAGCAGAACCCAAAATACAAAGCCTCCACATCTTGATTTGTGTTACGTGTTCAGAATCAAATGTCCACTCTTACTCATTTATTCTGAATTCTAATAAAATATTGGGACAGGGAAAAATCAACTAATCTTTCTTCTTGGCACATTGGAAGCAAAAAAATCACAGAGCCCAGTTACAAACTGAGTCCCATGCTGAATTTAAAATCCCCAATCCCATCTATCCCCACTAATCCCTTCAAAACCTTGCTTATCTAGAATTTACCTCTGTAGGCTGAGTGATACTTGTTTCACCTCCAGCTCTCGAAATCTTCACACTTGTTTCTTTTTCTTTCAGGATAAACAATGTGGCTTCCTTCTGGTCCTCACCTAGATTAGCCTCACCAACAGCAAGAATTTAGTTAATGCTTAGGGTTGTGATAAGTTCTAAGATAGTTCAGTAATTCTTAGCTATAAGTCACTCATCAACTGACTTGATCCAAGTCTTTCTGAGTCTCCAAACTAACACCCATAGTTCTCTGGTAAATATCTCTCTGTAGAAATTTTTCCAACACAATCATGTAGATAAAACAGTTCTCCCCAGGTGTTGATCCTGGTGGTTTCCAAGGTGAAGGAGGCCATCCACCCTCTCTTCTTCTGCCAAATCAGTTTTTCTAGACAGTCAGAATTATAAAAGACTTGAACACAAACACAGAAATGGCATGATGTCATCCACTGCTAACTGTGGCATTGTAATACATAGGGTTATGAAATTATTTGTTGTGTTTACTGTAAAAATGTTGTTTAGACAAAAAAACAAATTGTGGTTGCCAGGGGAGTGACTATTCCATGGGTGTGGGGTTTTCATCTAATGAAAAAGTTCTGGAAATAGATCGTGGGTGCTGATGGTTGCACAATAATGTGAAAGTACTTAATACCACTGAATTGTACATTTTAAAATAGTTAAAATGACAACTGTTATATGTTATGTGTACTTTATCGCAATTTCTAAATGAATATTGTTGATGCCATCATCTAGATTTCAAAATGATCTATCTATAAATATCCATGAGAGGAATGTCTCATTATATTACCAACGTTATGAATTGCATTGTGAATCATATTTCCCTGGAATTCTGGCATACAGGAAGGTTCAATCCAACTTTCATCCCTCTCCTGACAAGTGCATAAGACGTCTTTTTAAAATAACGTTTTATTTTAGGTTCAGGGGTACATGTGAAGGTTTTCTGCTCCTCTCCCTCCTCCCACCCTCCACACCTCCCAGTGTCTGTTGTTCCCCTTCTTATGTTCATGAGTTTTCATCATTTTGTTCCCACTTTTATAAGTGAGAATTTGGTTTCCTTTTCCTCCGTTAGTTTGCTAATAGTAATCTCCAACCCCATCCATGTTCCTGCAAAAGACATGACCCTGTTCTTTTTATGGTTGCCTAGTATTCCACGGTGTATATGTACCATATTTTCTATATCCAATCTGTCATTGATGGGCATTCAGGTTGATACCATGTCTTTGCTATTTTAAATAGTGCTGCAATGAACATTCACATGCCTGTGTCTTTATGATAGAATGGTTTCTACTCCTCTGGGCATACACCCAGTTATGAGATTGCTGGGTTGAATAGTAGTTCTGTTTTCAGCGCTTCAAGAATCGCCATACTGCTTTCCACACGGCTGAACAAATTTACACTCCCATCAACAGTGTATAAGTGTTCTCTTTTCTCTGCAACATCTTCAGCATCTGTTATTTTCTGACTTTTTACTAATAGCCATTACTACTGGTGTGAGATGGTATCTCATTATGGTTTTGATTTCCATTTCTCTTATGACAAGTGATGTTGAGCCTTTTTTTTATATGCGTGTTGGCTGCATATATGTCTTCTTTTGAAAAGTGTCTGTTTATGTCCTTTGCCCACTTTTTAATGGGATTGTTTTTCAATTGTAAATTTAAGTTCCTTGTACATACTGGATATTAGACCTTTGTCAGATGCAGAGTTTGCAAACATTTTCTCCCATTCTGTAGGTTGTCTGTTTACTCTGTTGATAGTTTCTTTTGCTGTGCAGAAGCTCTTTAGTTTAATTAGGTACCATTTGTCAATGTTTACTTTTGTTGCAATTGTTTTTGGTGTCTTTGTCACGAAATCTTTGCCTATTCCTATGTCCAGGATGGTACTGCCTAGGTTGTCTTCCAGGAATTTTGCCTTTTCTGGTACTAAGCTAATTCCAGACTCCCTCATAATTTTGTAACTTTATTTTTCTTTTTTGCCTCATTTTTCATGTCTATTTTCAATTTATTTTATCTTATTACTATTATATGTGGTTTTTTGTAAGATACCTTAAATAATTTTAAGAGCCTGACAGAATATAAATAACCTAAAATCAAAATATGACCAGATATAGTGTTTGCTTATTTTCTCTCTCATAATGTGGTCTCCTTTCCTGGTGTGAACTTCAAAATGGTCCTTGCATTGAGATCTCCAAGATATTCTATTAGATAAGTTGTTATTTGATAATTAACTTACTCACAGTGAACATATTCTTTTTACTGACTTTATTTGCACCTGGTATTTTCCTTTATTAGTGGAGCACCAACCTTCAAGCACCATATTATAAATGCAGTAATAATGATGAAATGTCCTTAACTCTGAGTAATAACCACTGCTAGGAAACTGAATCATACTTCCTCTCTGCCAGGTTTTTACTGCTTTCCATGCTACAAGCAAAAAGCCTTAGCAATGCCTTTTTGTCCTAGAAGTGCAAAAATTTGCTACCTTTTAGAAAAAGAAATAATAGACAACTATAATGTGCATTCTTCTTTTTATGGCAAATTGGAAACATAAAAATAGTTCCTCTTAGCAGCAATGCAAGCTTTTGTCCTTGGAGGATGGGAGAGATTCCCCATAAAACAGAGGTTGGTTACAGTGGCAGATAATACTCTTAAATAGAAATCTCCATGTTTGGCGTAAAACAAATGTTGAATATATGGACATTCAGAATACATCTTGGAGATTAGATGGGTCATCAAGACTGTAGTTCTGACTAATACAGTGACAATATTAATTACTTTATCCATTTGTTCAACAAATATTTGAGCTATATGTACCGGGCACTGTACTATGCCCCAGGGATAAAACAGTGGGAAAAGATGTTTACTCTTTAGTCAAGGAGAGAGATAAATAAGCATACAATTATAATAAACATATTATATTGTGCTAGGAAGCACAATACAGGTGGTTGGGAAAGCTCCTAGAGAAAGTGACATCTACATTGAGATCTGAAGTCAATCTCAGGAGAGGTGGGACTGAACTGGAAACCAAGCGCTTTCCAAACAAAGGGATGAGCACATCCAAAACCCCAAAACAGAGGAGAGGAGAGAATGGTACATTTGACAAACAAGTAGCTCAGTATGTCTGGAACTTAGAGGGCAAAGGAGTGAACAGCTAGAAACAAAGGTGGAGGGGGAAAGCAAAGGACATTTGAAGGAATTTGAGGGTCATTAATATCTAGGGTTTATTCTGAGAAAAGTGGGAACCACTGAGGTTTTAAAGCAAGAGAGAAACATGATCAGATTTACATTTTAGTAATAAACACCTATTATCAGTGGATGGGATTAGAGGAGAGTAAAACATATCAACATTTTCAGAGAGCAAACCATTGCAGCAGTATAGGTAAGAAATGATGAAGACCTAACCTACTGTTGCCTAAATGTTTTGATCATGCACTCATATCATTAAAATAATCTTGAGCAATATGCTCTTATTTTATGCACATTTATATATGTATAAAATATAAATGTGTATTATTGTATTAATAAAACTAACAAAAAATAAATAAATGAAACAAAATAAAATAGATAGAAACAGAAATCCAGTATTTTATTTTACATCCCAAAAGATTGTCTTATACACATCCCCGAATGCACATGCCACACTCTGAAGACCACTGGCCTGAACCAAGAAAGTGGTGCTGAAAATAGAGGAATGTTAATAAATTGGAGAGACAAAGAAGATATACAAGCAAAAATATTTGAATGATTGAAGATAGAGGGAGAAGAAGTGAAATAACAAACACCAGAAACACCTGGGTTTTCAAGGTTTGGGTAGCTGGTGCTATATATTGAGTTATGGTGCACTGGAGAAAAAGTTAGGTTTGGCTGGAAAAAAATAGAGCACCTTTTTGCACATATTGAATTGAGATAGCAAAGCACAGCAAACACTAGTTTAAGCAGATATAATGATTAATATTGAGTGTCAACTTGATTGGATTAAAGGATGCAAAGTATTGTTCCTGGGTGTGTCTCTGAGGACGCTGTCAAAGGAGATGACCTTTTGAGTCAGTGGGCTGGGAAAGGCAGACCCACCCTTAATCTGGGTGGGCACCATCCCCTCAGCTGCCAGTGCAGCTAGAAAAAGCAGGCAGAAGAAGGTGGAATGAGCAGAGGTGCCAAGTCTTCTGGCCTTCATCTTTCTCCCATGCTGAATGCTTCCTGCCTTCAAATATCAGGCTCCATGTTCTTCGGCTTTTGGACTCTTGGACTTACACCAGTGGTTTGCCAGAGGCTCTCGGGCCCTCAGCCCGAGACTGAAGGCTGCACTGTCAGCTTCTCTACTTTTGAGGTTTTGGGACTTGGACTGATCCACTACTGGCTTCCTTGCTCCTCAACTTGCAGACGGCCTATCGTGGGACTTCACCTTGTGATCGCGTGTGTCAATTCCCCTTAATAAACTCCCTTTCATATATACATGTATCCTATTAGTTCTGTCCCTCTGGAGAACCCTGACTAATACAGCAGGTATGGAGAGAGTTTATTGGGGACTGACTTATGGAGAGACAGAAAAGTCACCTCACCTTTCTGGCTGAACTCACGAGTCACAGAATTTTTTTAGTTATGATGAAAACTGGGAATTCTCTTCCTGCCATATACACAAGGATCTCCTTTCTATTTGTGGCTGCATAGTTAGGGAACTCTATGAGACAGAAAACATCAGACTTTCCTTCATGAAGGTATCAATTTCCCTTAAGAATCTTGGCCTTCCATAAGAATGATACAGTGGAATTTGGGGACTCTGGGGAAAGGATGGAAGAGGGAGAGGGATAAAAGACTGCATTGAGTACAGTGTACACTGTTCGGGTGATGGGGGCACCAAAATCTTAGAAATCACTACTAAAGAACTCATCATGTAACCAAACACCATCTGTTCCCCAAAAACCTATTGAAACTTAAAAAAAAAATTTAAAAAAAGATTCTTGGCCTTCAGGTCTGGTATTCTATTAATCCACTACATCAGGGTTTAGTAATGGGTACCATTAGTTAAAATACCTGAAATGTAATATGTTCCTTAAATGAAGATAGGCTTTCTGTGACCTCTAAACTCCTGTACTTCAAGGCAACTCATTTAGAAGCTAGAACATCTATTCTAATATAAAATTGGGAAGCTCTAACAACATAAAAATATCTACTATGTACTTGAATGCATCTAATGTCATACAGAGAGCTAATGGAGAAGTCATCTGAAAGCTCCCAATGTCAGTCACTGAGGCCCACTGTGGACGCCAATTATTTTGTGGAGAAGACAGAAAAAGTGTAAAGAAAGGACCAAAGCCATGTATATACTTTTACCCTTACCTTTAAGATGTTTAACTGATCTCTTCCTAATTCTCAAATGAGTAAAGTAGTGACTAAAGATTAATGTCAGATGTATTACCATGTTTTTTGGTTTTGTTTTTGTTTTTACTTGTTTGTTTTTGTTTTTTGAGATATAGTCTCGTTCTGTCACCCAGGCTGGAGTGCAGTGGCACGATTTCGGCTCACTGCAAACTCTGCCTCCCAGGTTCAAGCGATTCTGATGCCTCAGCCTCCCAAGTAGCTGGGATTACAGGCGCACACCACCACACCTAGCTAATTTTTGTATTTTTAGTAGAGGCAGTGTTTCACTATGCTGGCCAGGCTGCTCTCAAACTCCTGACTTCCAGTAATCCGCCTGCCTCAGCTTCCCAAAGTGCTGGGATTACAGGCATGAGCCACCCCACCCAGCTCTCTTACCATGTTTTTATCTTATGTTAAAAAGGCATCAAGATTTATCATTGTTAGAAGAGAAGTTGTTATTTCATTGGAGGAGGTTGATTTTCTGGTGCAGATACATTCTCACTTGAAGCTCACAATAGCCATATTCAGGCAACTGTGGAAACACTACCTGAAAAGCAGAGAGTACCGCTGATCCTCACCATTACACCATGGCGTCTCACTGGCTTACCCAGCAATGCTGAGTGAGTATTGCTCTCATATACGTTTTAAGGATGGCAAGAATAAAAAAAATAAAAAATAAAAGAAACACTGCTATTGCAAAATTTAAGAGTTCAAAGAGGCAGTGGTTTTCACTAAGTCACCTAGACCATGAGTACAGGAAGTAAAAATAAACGTAGATTTCCTACCACCCAGTCCAGAACTTTTGCACTATAGCACATATGCAACCATACTCACATGTGCACATGCACACAGAATAACAAGAGCTCAGCTTTACAACTGCCAGGCAAGAAATGCACCACGTTACACTGAAGAAGCCGTGAAAGCAGAAAAATCAATCTACCATTTTAATGAAAAAATGTGAGAAACTGAGATGAGGTATGGTGCAATCACTTTGGGCAGATTTGGCTGTTTGGCTATTAATCATTTCTCTACTGTGCAGTCAGCACAACTAAGTCTATTCAGCGTATTGTTGGGGCCACTGTAGAGACGCTGTAACCAAGTCAGATGAGATTATTAAACCATCATTGTATCCTAAGGACCAAGAACTGTGCAAAAAATTGCAGTTTTCAAGTGAAAAAGATTAACTCTAGGAAAAAAACAATCATTTTCCCCAGGACTGGAATATTGAAATTTCCTCACATGACAACTTACATTCTAGCAATTACAAATCTTGGATTTAAGATAAAATTTTATACCAAATCTAAAATCAATCTTCTATCACTTTCTGTTTAAAGAAAGTACAAATAAGATAATACCTTATAACCTCTCATTATAAGCTATTATCAGGTTAATACTTTATAATGAGAGTCTTAAATTTGCTTATAGATCTAATTATTTTTCTTTATCTTTGCCTTCTGCTCCCAAACTAATTTAGAGACCTCAGTGACTGCCTCAGAGGCCATCACACTATCCTTCCTAGTGTTTGATACTTACAGAATCATTCTGCTGACTACTGAGTTACCTAGAGAATACGGAGTATTTTCTAACAAGCCTTTTAAATCCACCCATCTGAGCCTATGGTATTAGTCAGAGTTCTCTAGAGGGATAGAACTAATAGGATAGATATATACATATATAAAGGGGATTTTATTAAGTATTAACTCACATGATCAAAAGGTCCCACAACAGGTCGTCTGCAAGCTGAGGAGCAAGGAGAGCCAGTCCGAGTTCCAAAACTGAAGAACTTGGAGTCCAATGTTTGGGGAACAGGAAGCATCCAGCACAGGAGAAAGATGTAGCCTGGGAGGCTAGGCCAGTCTCATATTTTCACATGTTTCTGCATGCTTTATATTCTAGCCTCTCTGGCAGCTGATTAGATGATGCCCACCCAGATTAAAGATGTGTCTGCCTTTCCCAGCCCACGGAGGGTGTTACCCAAATGTTAATCTCCTTTGGCAACACCCTCACAGACACACCCAGGATTAATACTTTGCATCCTTCAATCCAATCAAGTTCACACTCAGTATTAACCGTCACATTTATTGAATACCTAAAATACACAAGATCTTGAAGCAAAAGCCTAAGTATTGGAAGTCAACAGTCAATAGAAGCAATAGTGCCTTCAAGGACCCATCTCCACTAACCCCCTCTACAAGTCTCAGAGCTCCACACTCTCTATATCCAAGAATCCTTCATGGGAACAGATGTCACTGGTGGTGCATCCAATGTTGCTGCCCCTTCTTGAACAAAGGTTGGTTGGCATTGGTTCACCAACTTCAAGAGCTGGTCCAAGGTAAATGTGTCAAGTCTCAGCAGCAACCCAGCAAGCATAAATAAGATCCCTTTTCTCAACACCATATTCCCTCCTAAGAGAGAGTCAACTAAAGCAGGGGCTTTCTTCATATTAATTCAACTATTTTCTATTGCTTAGTGAAGGCAAAATCCAGAACACAAAAACAAAAAGATGCATTTGCTGAGGAATAGAATATTTTCTCTACTTTCTTTACCTAAACCTTAATCTCATTGCAATCCTAAACATCTTTAGCTTTTTATGACCTCTTCCCTTTATACTCTGTCCCAAGGCTGGGATAATTATAACAATATCCTTTTAAAAATATCTTTGTGTAATACAGATTTGCTACCCCAATATTGCAGCAGCCATGGCTTGGGCTTTAGTGGCCTCTGTATATGTGCACGCTGTGTTACACCACCCTGAGCTCAGCCTTCCTGTCCCCTCTGTTAATGCCATGAGCTCTCCACCCTCTAAAAAGGCAGCTGTTTGCTTTTGTATATAAGGTATTAACCTGATAATACCTTATCTCATTTGTTACTTACCTTCTCAACTGCAGCAGCAAAATCACATCATGATTCACTAAGGGTCTACGTGACCTCACATTTGGCAATATTGTCCCAGGATAAAAACCTCACTGACCACAATTTGGGTCCTCTAAATGCCCATCCTTAACACACTGGCCACAAAATCTGAGACTTCACTTGTTCTAGGTTCTTCTGGTTTGGATGTCCAACCTGTCTCACTGTCAAATCCACTGACCAGTCTATCCACAGGACCAATACTGGCCTCAGACTAACTGTTAAATATTTGTGACCTCAAAAACTCCTAAAATATGATATGAATGTGTCTCCCTGTCAGATTCTTCTAAGTGTGGTAGGCAGAATTCAAATCTGTATGCATGCAGTTCAAGGCTATTTTATCCCAGTCCTATTGTTTGGGGTACAGAAGAATCTCTTTGGGATAAAGGGCCCAAATAATCTGTAGAAAGATCATTCTCTAGAAAACTACACTTCATTCCATAGATTTATCTTGTTTCTACATTTCAGCTTATCCTTTTACCATATTTAGTACATAGAGGAAAGTTTTGACTTCATATTTAGAGCAAGTGGGTGGGGCTCCAAAAGAAAATTTTCAGAAAATCAAATCTTCTAATTTTTCCTATCAGCTCTTTCCAGGAAAACAATTACATCTGCATAGGCCAAATGCTGAGTTTGTACACAAAATGGTCATCAATTTTGTACAGATTAATAAAAGTATATTCATTCAAATCCCATTAATTTGAGATTTCTCCTGAAGTCAGATGATTTCCCTGTATTACGTGAGGAAAAAAATGCCATCCCAAGCATATTAAGACAAAGTGACAGGGGGACTACATATGATATCAATCTTCAATCTCTTCTAAGTACATTTTTAAAGCACTCCTAGAAGTATCAGTGTACACATATCACAACATTCTTCATTCATTGTTGAGTCCAATTATTGTTGAATATTTTGTTTTTACCAAATAGCTGCCCTCGAAGAATTTACAATCTAGTAGCCACAAACTACAAATTTCCTTAGTTATAAATCATCCTGGTTATTGGATTTTTTAATTATATAATACTGCACACGGACAAAAGAAAGTCTATGTACATACATTATAAAGCATAACAATGAAAAATAAATATCCTATGATTCTACAACCTAGCCTAAGAACTAGAATATTCCCAGCATCCTTGTACTCACCTCAATGCCCCTTTCTTATTCTCTCATCTGCTTCTTTCCCCATCCCAACCAGAACTAACCACTATCCTGAAATTTTGTGTTTATCATTCCTCTACTTTTCTTATAGTGTTATTCCATATGTATGTATTCCTAAACACTAAATTAAGCTTTGCTTTTTTCAAACTTTTTTTAAAAATGACATTGTACTGTATGAAAACCAGATTTTGTAATCTGCTTTCTTCATTCAGTATTTTTAAGATTTATTCATGCTATAACTGTATAGCTGTGATTTGTTCATCTTCACTACTGTATATTATTCCATTTTATTTATCTAGTCTCATGATAATGGACATTTGGGCTGTGACCAGTATTTTTCCATTACAAAAAACACTGCTAGGAACATTTTTGCACATTTGTGGTGTTTATAAACAAGCGTATCTCTAGAATATACCTAGAAAGAGAAATTCTGGGACCTGGAGCATATTCAAGTTTGCAAGTACTAAAGTATTTCCAAAATGGCTGTATCAATTTATAGTTCCCTCAGCAAGGTATAGTTTTCCATTGATCTATACTCACTTCAACAGTTAATATTGGTAGATTTATCTTTTAAATTTTGTGAATTTAGTGAATGTGAACGTTATATCATTGCAATTTTAATTTACATTTCAATGATTATCAATAAAATTGAGCACATTATCATATATTTACTAGCCATTTGAATTTATTTTGTGAAATGCTTGTCGAAGTCTCAGAAATTTTTATATCAGATTGCCTGTCTTTCTCTTACTGATTCGTTGGTGTAATTTATATATTAAAGATACTGGTCCTTGGTCAGTTACATGTGCTGCAAATTACTTTTCTTAGTTTATGACTTGTCTTTTCATCCTACTTATGGTGTTTTGTAGTGAATAAAAAACCTTTATTTTAATTTAATTGAATTTATCAGTCTCTTCTTTTATGATCAATTTTTTATGTCTTAAGAAATCATATCCACCTCTGAGACCATACAGGTAAAAAATCACTGTTCTTATAAATTAATTACTTGTCCTTACAAATAGTATAACTTTATTTCTTTTAAACTATTCTATAACTTTGACCAGTGTTTATTTGCCAAAGTGTATTTCTAGGACCACCTGCATCAGAATCACCTAAGTATTTTTAAAATGCTAATTCTCAGGCCCCATTTTTTTTTTCCAGCAGATATTTAAGTAGCTTTTAAATGCTTGGTTCTAAACTTGAGAACACAAAAGTAAATAAAATAGACAAAACACCTCAAGATTATGTGACATGGAAACAACAGGTGCTGGAAAGGCTGTGGAGAAATAGGAACAATTTTACACTGTTGGTGGGACTGTAAACTAGTTCAACCATTGGGGAAGTCAATGTGGCGATTCCTCAGGGATCTAGAACTAGAAATACCATTTGACCCAGCCATCCCATTACTGGGTATATACCCAAAGGATTATAAAACATGCTGCTATAAAGACACATGCACACGTATGTTTATTGCAGCACTATTCACAATACCGAAGACTTGGAACCAACCCAAATATCCAACAATGATAGACTGGATTAAGAAAATGTGGCACATATACACCATGGAATACTATGCAGCCATAAAAAATGATGAGTTCATGTCCTTTGTAGGGACATGGATGAAGCTGGAAACCGTCATTCTCAGCAAATTATCGCAAGGACAAAAAACCAAACACGGCATGTTCTCACTCATAGGTGGGAATTGAACAATGAGAACACATGGACACAGGAAGGGGAACGTCACACACTGGGGCCTGTTGTGGGGTGGGGGGAGGGGGGAGGGATAGCATTAGGAGACATACCTAATGTTAAATGACGAGTTAATGGGTGCAGCACACCAACATGGCACATGTATATATATGTAACAAACCTGCACTTTGTGCACATGTACCCTAAAACTTAAAGTATAATTTAAAAAAGAGATTATGTGACTTACATGTATGGGCAGAAAGAAACAACAAATAAATACAATTCAGTCTGGGCATGGTAGCTCATACCTGTAATACCAGCATTTTGGGAGGCCGAGGCGGGCAGATTACTGGAGGCCAAGAAACCCCTTCTCTACTAAAAATACAAAAATTAGTGAAGCGTGGTGGCACATGCCTGTAGTGCCAGCTACTCAGGAGGCTGAGGAAGGAAAATTGCTTGAACCGGGAGGTGCAGGTTGCAGTGAGCCGAGATTGCACCATGGCAATCCAGCCTGGGCAGTAGAGAGAGATTCTGCCTAAATAAAATAAAATAAAATTCGTAGTATGCCATCTTCCCATTTGTCTTCCTCTCTTTATTTCTCTACTCTGGGACTCTCAATTTTTCTGACTCAGGTCTTTTACACTGACTGTAACACCATGGCAAGGATGTCTTCACAGACGTTGCCAGAAAAATTGCAACTATGACATATGTTTTAGCCTTGAGGATTTCATTTTAGGGAGAGCTGTTAGCATAGGGCAATGAACAACGTACTAGTAAACTCTTGTAAACTCTCGCCTCTTCTAACGTATAGAGCAAGTAACCTCAATAAATATTTCTATCAACTTAGTAGAAGACCATCATCTTGATTGATGTTTAAATAGCTGATCAGATTAATATATACACTAAGTATTAATGCAGCTACTCCAAAATCTGAGGCCCTTGCTTTCTTCAAGAAATAAACATTTTTTCTCATTTGACAAGATCAGTGCTGATTTAAAGGCAAATTGAGACCTTATGGTTTAAACTTACAATAGAAATATTCAAAATTGATAATTATGGAAACTGCACTTTAGGAAAACTCAAAGATTGAACCAAGACAGAAAAAAGATCCCATATCTAATATTGCTTACTGTGCAGATTATTCATTTGCAATTTAGCTCCAAAATCCCTTTACGTTCTCACTTGTGTCTCAAGGGATGACAGCCTGGGAACTACATTTCCCAGAATCCTTACAGCAGAGTTCTGGTTAGAGAATGGCAATGAGAAGCTTCTAATCTTGTGCATGATTAGAAGGTAAGACAGAAGGAACTGCTACGTCATTGTTCCCCCAGCAGCAGTGGATGGACATATGCAGGATTTGAAAGGACTTCTACATGAACTTCCTAACTTGGTGCTGCAGGAACTCTGTGAGGTTCCTGCAACTTTCTGATTTCCTGAAAGTGAACCTGAGAGCTAGTGATGGCCTTCCTTGAACTTGTATACCCCTATCTTTTCCAAAGGTTTAGAAAACACCCAATTACCTATATTAATTGCTTGAAATACCTACAGTGATTTCTGTTTTCTACACTAAACCTTGGATAATACACCATATCATTCCACTTCATTTTCTTTCTTTCTTGATTTCTAAATTCCCAAATCAGAATTAATTTGATTGATAAGCTTCAAAACACAGATGACTCCTTCCCCCATTCCCAAATTGGAGATCTGAAACCTCAGAAAATCTAAACTTTAAGTGAAATGATGATTGGGAGCCCAATAGATCCTTTAAAATACAGAAGAAGAAAAAACATAAGAATTTATATTTTATTTCATTCTTACAGTGACCATGAAATTTTCACGATTCATAAATTTCTGTGTACACGTACTGAGCAAGATTGCCTTTTTTAAGCATTGTATATTTTAACATCTGATTTAGAGAATTAAATTTGCTAAACTTTAAAGGCGTATTTCTACTAAAGGCCAATTTACTGAACATCAGAAATATGTCTTCCAATTTAGCATCTGTACTAGTTTTGGGAGGCTGTCATAATAAAGTACCACAAACTGGTGGCTTCAAACAACAAAAAGTTATTGTCTCAGTTCTGGAGGCAAGATGAGGAAGTCTAAGATCAACATGTCAGCACAACCCTCTGAAGGCACTAGGGAAAGATCTGTTGCAGGAGTTTGCTGGCAACCTTTGGTGTTCCTTAGCTTGCAGGTGCATCAGCTTGATTTTCCTTGTATGTGTGTATGTCTGTGTCCAAATTTCTCCTTTTTATAAGGACATTAGTCATATTTCATCAGGATCCATCCTAATGACTTTATTTTAACTTAACTAATTAAATCTGCAATGACCCTATCTCCAAATTATTCACATTCTCAGGTGCTGAAAGTTAGGGTTCCAACATCTCTTGGTGGGGAGACACAACTCAACACATAACAACATCCTTCAAAATTGTCTCTCAGCAGGGTCAAAGCAAGACAGAGAAAACACTGATAGACTGCAAGCCATATTCTCAAGCTGGTAAAATCCTAACAATAAAATATAAGTAAATTTTAATCCTTTTTCTTCTCACATATCACAGAAGTGAAAAAAAAATGGTAACTCTAGATTACCCATGAAGATGGGCAGTTTGGGGCAGATAAGGAGCATTAAGAAAGTTATACAGAAGACCTGGATTCAACCATGTACTTGAATTTGTTAGTGATGTAAATTTGCACAAGAACCTGCTGTCTAAACTTCCATTTCTCCATCAGTAAAATAGGGAAAATAACTTCCATACCAGCAGCAGTTCCATAATTTTGAAACAGGAGAGTTCCCTTGCACACCCCCCCACCCCGCCTCAGGACGTCCAACAGGGTTGTGGCTCATCTGTTCGGCCACGGCGTGCACTCAAACCCCTCATGGGAGCGGGAGCACACAGATGGGCAGGTGCAGGAGCTGAGGTGAGTGCCCCTGGGCTGTAGCCCCACAGCAGTGTCCACGGGTGGGAGCCTGTGACTCCCAAAGCACAAGTGAGTATGTATTACAGTGCACTCCTTTAGCTTTGCCATCCGTGGATGGCTTAAGTGTTAACCAACTCAGTGCCCTCTTGGTACCCAGGTCCTTGTCTGGCATCGAGGAAGAATAAGGTGGCATACGGACTTGAAGGATGAATGCAGGGGTTTTACTGAATGGTGGAGGTGACTCTCAGTGGGATGGATGGGCAGCTGGAAGGGGGATGGAATGAGAAGACAACCTTCCCCTGGAGTTCGGCCATCCAGTGGCCTATCTCCTCCACAGCCAAACTCCTCTCGGGGTTCATATTCTCCTTCTCTTCTCTCTGCCCTGCCGTTCTGCCATTCTTCTGCTCTTCTGTTCATTTCCTCGTGGAGCTGGGACTTTGGGGTTTACATGGACACAGGATGGGGGGTGTGGCAGGCCAAAAGTCAACTTTTGGGCTCAAAAACAGGAATATCTGTTCTCATGTAGGGCCACAGGTTTCCAGGCTTGAGGGTGGGGCCTTTGCCAGGGAACTGCCCTCTTCTACTCAGTATTTCCTTGTCTCCTGTTTTTGTCAGTTTCTGTATAGGAGTTCCATAGAAGCAATCACATTGGAAAAGGGATTAGAGGTAGTACTTGCACAGCATTTTACATAGAGGAAATACCAGTTTTCCATTTCAAACTATAAGAGGAGTTATTTTGAAAAATTGTGTGGAAACGCACTTTGAGACAATATAAAACTATATAAAGGCCAGGAGCACTGTCTCACACCTGTAATCCCAGCACTTTGGGAGGCCGAGGCAGGTGGATCACCTGAGGTCAGGAGTTCAAGCGAGACCAGCCTGGCTAACATGGTGAAACCCCATCTCTACTAAAAAATACAAAAATTGGTTGGGCATGGTGGTGCATGTCCCAGCTACTCGGGAGACTGAGGCAGGAGAATCGCTTGAACCCAGGAGGCAGAGGCTGCAGTGAGCCGAGATCATGCCACTGCACTCCAGCCTTGGCGACAGAGTGAGACTGTCTCAAAAAATAAAAAAAAAATAAAAAGCTGTATAAAGTCATTAAAGTCCTCATTATATACTTTGTGGATTATCTTTGGTAATCCAATTTTCAACTTACTTTAAAAGTTTTCAGTAATATTAATAGTTATAACCACTACTATTTACCTAATATCTTTAAATAATTGATTTGATTCTAAGTTTAGAATAATACATAGTCATCATAGAAAACTTACCATTCAGAAAAAAACACACAGAAAAGTAATTTAATATCAACTATGGCCCCCAAACCAAAAATATGTTCTGCTGCCTTTTTGCTTTTGTATCTCATCAAGACTCTTTTACAGGTAAGTTTCAAAACAGAAGAGAAGACCCCTCTGTTTGTGCCTGTAGGGACAGAGGAGGAGTTATAAACTGGAGTCAAACTTTATGTTGTAATGTATAACCTTTTTTTTCTTCTAACAATATATTGTGACCATTTCTCCATCTCATTAAATACTCTTCTCCAATATCATTTCTAAAGACTGCATAGTATTATTCTATAGTATGAACATACCGTAATTTATATTAGGATTACCTGCTATTTTCATTTTTTGTTATAATATATAACAATATAATATCCATTATTGAACATAAATTTTGATGTAATCATAATTTCTTTTTTAAAAATTCTATAAGAAAACTTCAGTTACAAAATATGATAATATTTTTCATATGAGTAATTTTTATACATAACATTATACTTCATTTTATTTGTGCTCACCAAAATGGGTTTTTCTTTTGTCTTTGCAAATTCACTGGTAAAAATATAGTATGTAATAGTTGTTTCAAATGAAGCTTTTTAATTACAAGTAAAATTGAGCGTGCTTTAATAAACATCTCCATTTACAATTTTTAGTGTGTATGAAATGTCCCATTATAGTATGGTACATTGGAACGTTGTCTTTTTTATATTGATTATTATAGGATAAAAATAATAATGCCTTATGTGTCAGATATGTTGCAAATAATCCCAACTTATTTGTATGCACTTTGTAGTGATTTTATAAATATCCATAAACCTTAGATTTTTAAGCAAATGGCTGTGAAAATCTTTTTATTTATGATTCTGCTTCTGCATATAGATTTAGAAAACCTTTGCCCAGCCTAAGGTTAGGAAAATACCCAACATTTATTCTTGAAGATTTTTTGTTTCATGTTTTACATTTAGATCTTTTCTTTAATTATAACAGCTATTTTATATATATATTAAAAATCATAAAAAAATTTAAGCCACATAGAAATGAACAAAAAAAATGTCTTTTCCAGTCTCCACCTCTACCCACCTCAAGTCCTATGTCACAGAGAGGTTTGATTCAGAATACCTCCTTCCAGATCTTATTAAAGCATGTAAATATAAAATACTTTTCTTTTTGTTTATCTAAATTTCCCAATGTGTATAAATGAACACATAGTGCTCACCTTTAAAAGAAAAAAGAGAAGCTTTGAAAAAATAAAATGGAAATTTTATTTCGAGATATCTTAGGTGTATCTCTGGAATTGCATGGGCAAAGGAAGACAGAGCTACCCTTAGTGGGGAGAAAGGCAACATTTGTTTGTATATTGCAATAGAAATATTCACTATGTTTATTACCAGACTCGTTACTATTCAACTGGACAAGAACTAACTAGCTCAGTTCTTGGCACACAATAGCTCCTCAATAAATATTAATTATTAATTAATTAGACAATAAAGTAGTTTCCAGGAAACATCATTTGGGACTGGAGATTCTTGATTAGGAAGCTGTGAGGGCACAGGTGGTGTTGTCATTGCTTCTTCCAACTAACAGTTGGGAGTTTCAAAGAGAAAGAAGGCTATGGGAGGTGAAAGGCTGGCTATGCAGATGGTGTCAAAGAATGTAATTTATATTTCTGGACCACAGTCTAAAACACCAAAATGATAAGCTTTTGGCTAAAAATGCAATGCATATTAGTAAATCATGGAAGCATATGTTTGTCCAAAAATGAGCTAACCTGGTTAAAAGGTCCTGAGAATGGAGCAGGGGATCTGGACACAAGTTGAAGTTTTGCCTCAATTAAACTTTATTTTAAGCCAAATCATTGTACTAATTTTGTACTAGCCAATTTTTAAATGACAAGACAATGTCTAAGGGCTCTTCTAATCTTAATATTCAATGTGTCTCTAAAGAGGGAGGGAGAAAATAAGAAACTGAAGTGTGTATCCACTTACTATGGAGACCCAATAAAAATAACCTGGTACACCGTGGTGTCCACAAAACAGCAAGTTTTAAAATATTCAGAAATAACAGTCATCGCCTTAGATGATTATATACTACTATGTAGAGTGTAAGTAGAGAACACAGAAATCTCGATATTGTAAAAACAAAACAAAAAACACAAATGCAACATCATTGTAGTCCTCAGACTTGATAAGCAGCTGCATGGAAATGGAATATTGTGACTTATGTGAAGGAAGGAGGGGAATAATTTTATTGTGTGTTGATAAGTTATACACCTGCTCAAAGATTCTTAAATGTGAAGGTGATATCTAGAAGAATACATGTGTAAGGATAAAAGAAGAGATCAACTCTAATAATATATTTATCCATTCATGCATTTAACCTGGATGATATTCAAAACATTTAAAACATTTATCAATGGGTATAGTATAGCAAATCAGAATGTAAGCTTCCGCCCATCAAAAGAGATACAAGCTTTAAACTAATGGCATAATGGTGTGGGGCACCTGGTGCACATACGCAAGCTATCATGTCTGCATTCAGCAGTTGAGCACATAAAAGCAGTGTGTGCGTGCGTGCGTGCGTGTGTGTGTGTGTATAAAACTACATGGAACCCTTTTCACTACATATATCCCTACCTTACATAACATGTTAGGTCAAAATTATTGCTAATAAAATTTTAAGATCACATATTTTCTTTTTTATTTTATTTTATTTCTTTTTTATTTTCTTATTTATTTTATTATTTTATTTATTATTTTATTTATTTATTTATTTTCTTATTTATTTTATTTCCTTTTTTATTATACTTTAAGTTCTAGGGTACATGTGCACAACGTGCAGGTTTGTTACATATGTATACATATGCCGTGTTGGTTTGCTGCGCCCATTAACTCGTCATTTACATTAGGTATATCTCCTAATGCTATCCCTCCTCCTTCCCCCCACCCACAACAGGCCCCAGTGTGTGATGCTCCCCTTCCTGTGTCCACATACACCATGGAATACTATGCAGCCATAAGATCACATATTTTCTCACCGAGAAAAAATTTTGAAACCCTCATTTGATTTAAAAACTCATTTTACTATAAATGTTTGACTTAATTCTGTTTCACTGGTTTAAAAAAACCCCACAAATTCATTTATACCATGTTTTATTTATTTTTGGAATAATGGAGTAAAACATCCAATATATGTACGTATTTCTCCATGCCTTTCTGAACTTTGAAAGATCCAGTCCCTCAAGATTAATCCTAACTGACTAACTGGGCCTAAATTCAAATTAGACCCAAACAGTCATTTGCTTACTAGAGGTCACACACCTACTCTGAGTTCCAAAAGAACCGGCACATCTTCTTAACTTTGGAACTTTCATAGCTACCTGTGTTTATGCTACCTGAGCTAACCAATAGGCTGTGACCTACATTGGCCAATCATAACCCAGCAAGCATCGACCACAGTTCAACAAACACCAACTAATCAGAGTAAGCAAATTTGAACACTTCATTTACATAAGTGAACCTGAATAGAAACTTTCCCAATAAAAGACAAACCCTCCCTTTATTCTCTGGAACACAGCTTTATTTTTCAACAAAGTCTGCTGGATTTCACCAAAGGCTCCTGTTGCCCTCATTTGCAAACTCTTCACTGAAATAAAGTATCTTTCCTCTAATTTCTTTTCAAATAACTTTTGTTCATACCTTACATACATGATATGTATTTCTCTTGCCTTTACACATAAACTCTAATTTAAATAGGCATTAAATTGGTAAGGTCTCAAAAGTTTCCTTATAGATTCGAAATCAGTGTCCCATTGTTCTTCAGCATTTATCCTTTCTAAGGAGAATTCTGAGTCAGGAAGATTTTTATTCCTTTGCAGGTAAACATCATATGCAATGAGATTATATCCCTTTCAACTGAGTAAATTTTGCCAGTAACTATCCAGGTATGGTTTTCTTTTTAATTTTTAATTCTCTTTTTCATTTTTTATAAACTCCTTTCAGGAAACATTTCTGCTTTCGTCTCTATGATTTCTGTTTCCTTTTCTCTATTCTTTCCTCATACTATTCTTTCCTTTTTCAAAAGACCTATACCTCTTATCAACAAATAGTTTTCTAAAATATGTACATATGTTTTATAAATTTTTTGTTTAAATATATTTATAAATATATACTATAATAAATAAAATATAAATATTGTAATAAATATATACATGATAAAATATAAATATTTTTATAAATATATACTCTCTCCATATATATATTTATATATATCCATTTATATATATATATATATATATATATATATATATATATATATATACACACACATAATTTTTAGCCTCAGCCTCTGAGTCAGGCTATTTCCTTTTCCTGGCTCTGATGCAATTTTTCTGTTGGCCTCATGTTGCTGTGGCAGATGTTGCTGTGGTTGTTGCTGTTGCTGTTGTTGTCTTCATCATCAGATGAGAAGCAGTCTGCCTAGATATCATGTTTTTCAACAAACAGGTTTTTTTTATTTCCTTGACTTTGTTCTATGTACATTTAGACAATGATGAAATCCCCTTTCTGGGATCTAAAAACGAAGAGCAGGTTGATATACCCAATTATGGCTAATAAGTGGCAGATTAGAATACGAAAACAGCTCTTTTGACTCCATAATTTTTCTTGATGCTACACTATAAGAAGAATCTAATGTACCCAGGTATGGCATTGTGATAAAGCAGTGATGCTAATTTTAAAAATGTATGTCTATGTGAGTGCGTATGTAAATATATATAATATATAATGACAGTCCGTCCTATAAATACTATTCTATAACAGAAGAGGATTCAAAATAACACAAACCAAAAAGAAAAAGCAACACTAAAGTCAAAGATGATATACTAAAATATATTGTTACCAACATGATGTGAGCAGAGCTCAGTATAGCTTATGCAAAGAGTAACCCAAAGGGTACTTTGCATTGAAGTAAATCAAAGGACTTCTTTCAAATTCATAATATATGCTTGATAATTCTCCTCCCTTTGGTTTTCACATTTGCCCTAAAAGAGACTGGAGAGTTGTGTAATTGCAAAATGACGTGCAGCACGAAGAGTGATTTTTTTTTCATTTTATGCCATCCACTGATTAAGTGATCCAGTTTTCAACAATGTCAGCAATCTTTAAGGAAATCAGAGATTAAATACTGTATAAAAAATGTACAGAGGAGGCAAATGAATAAATTGTTTTTTAGGACTTGCAGAAACTTGATAATGGAATTTCATGTTTAAATTAAAAACTAATTCACCTTTGAATAATGATGATATTAGCAATACCCAAAACTATTGCCCTGTAGTGCATTTCCGGTATGCCTTCTATGGTCCTTACGTGGCAAGTCCTTTATGTTATGCATATTTATAATCTTGATTCTTTGGGGGACCATGGTCATACAGGATCACCTTGAACTCAACTTTGTAGAAAAGTCTAGAAACCACTCCTACAATAACATTAACCTGTTCACTAGCCTTGCTAAATATTTAATAAGCACCAAATTGTTAAGAAGCCAAACTAGCATGACCTTACAGTCTCTTTAAAAGTTTAAATGCAAGTTTCCACCATTTAATTGTAAAAATATAACTAAATTTTTGTATCTGATTCAGTCACCTAATAACCCATCAAAAATTTGCTACTCAATTCTAAGCAGATTATTTAGCTTATGCTTTGCTAGTTTGAATAAAACAAAGTAATTCAAACAAATTTCCTTCCACTCCCTCAAGATTATATAGGCAAAAACCACTTGGATTCAGATCCATGACTTTTGAATTATGTATTGTTTATTTTTTTCTTTATATAAAATAGTAGTTTAATTATACTGATTTAAATTTTTTTCAAATAAAATAATGAAGATCATCAGCAGTATTTCCACCATTAAAAATAATTGTGGTAGGGACTTGCTGGCAAGATGGCCAAATAGGAACAGCTCTGGTCTGCAGCTCCCAGTGAGATCAATGCAGAAGGTGGGTGATTTCTGCATTTCCAACTGAGGTACCCAGTTCTTCTCATTGGGACTGGTTGGACAATGGGTGCAGCCCATGGAGGATGAGCCAAAGTAGGGTGAGGCGTCATCTTACCCAGGAAGCACAAGGGGTTGGAGGATTTCCCTTTCCTAGCCGAGGGAAGCCCTTAGAGACTGTACCAGGAAGAAGAGTGCACTCCAGCCCAGATACTGCACTTTTCCCATGGTCTTCACAACCAGCAGACCAGGAGATTCCCTCTGGTGCCTGGCTCAGCAGGTCCCACCCCCACAGAGCCCAGCAAGCTAAGATCCACTGGCTTGAAACTCTTGCTGCAAGCGCAGCAGTCTGAGGTCGACCTGGGATGCTCAAGCTTGGTAGGGGGAGGGACATCTGCCATTGCTGAAGCTTGACTAGGCATTTTTACCCTCACAGTGTAAACAAAGCCGCCAGGAAGTTCAGACTGGGCAGAGCCCACCTCAGCTCAGCAAGGCTGCTGCAGCCAGACTGCATCTCTAGATTTCCTCCTCTCTGGGCAGGGCATCTCTGAAAAAAAGACAGCAGCCCCAGTCAGGGACTTATAGATAAAACCCCCATCTCCCTGGGACAGAGCACCTGGGGGAAAGGGTGGCTGTGGGTGCAGCTTCCGCAGACTTAAATATCGCTGCCAGGCAGCTCTTAAGAGAGCAGCAAATCTGCCAGCATAGCATTTGAGCTCTGATAAGGGACAGGCTGCCTCCTAAAGTGGTTCCCTGACCCCCGTGTATCTTAACTGGGAGACATGTCCCAGTACTGGCTGACAGACACCTCATCTGGAGAGCTCTAACATCTGGCAGGTTCCCCTCATCTGGCAGGTTCCCCTCTGGGACCAAGCTTCCAGAGGAAGGACAAGGCAGCAATCTTTGCTGTTCTGAAGCCTCTGCTGGTGATACCCAGGCAAACAGCATCTGGAGTTGACCTCCAGTAGACTCCAGCAGACCTGCAGAAAAGGGGCCTGACTGTTACAAGGAAAACTAACAAACAGAAAGGAATAATAGCAACATCAACAAAAAGGATGTCTACTCAGAGGCCCGAAGGTCACCAACATCAAAGACCAAAGGTAGATAAGTCCACAAAGATGGGGAGAAACCAGAAAAAAAGGCTGAAAACTCCAAAAACCAGAATGCCTCTTCTCCTCCAAAGGATCACAACTCCTCGCCAGCAAGGGAAGAAAACTGGACAGAGAATGAGTTTGACGAATTGACAGAAGTAGGCTTCAGAAGGTGGGTAATAACAAACTCCTCTGAACTAAAGGAGCATGTTCTAACCTAAGGCAAGGAAGCTAAGAACCTTGAGAAAAGGTTAGGTGAATTGCTAATTAGAACAACCAGTTTAAAAAAGAACATAAATGACCTGATGGAGCTGAAAAACACAGCACAAGAACTTCGTGAAGCATAGACAAGTATCAATAGCCAAATCAATCAAGTGGAAGAAAGGATATCAGAGCTTGAAAATCAACTCAATGAAATAAAGCAAGAAGACAAGAATAGAGAAAAAAGAGTGAAAAGAAATTAACAAAGCCTCCAAGAAATATGGGACTATGTGAGAAAAACAAATATAGATTTGATTGGTGTACCTGAAAGTGACGGGGAAAATGGAACCAAATTGGAAAACACTCTTCAGGATATTATCCAGGAGAACTTCCCCAACCTAGCAAGGCAGACCAACATTCAAATTCAGGAAACACAGAGAACACCACAAAGATATTCCTCAAGAAGAGCAACCCCAAGACACATATTCTTCAGATTCACCAAGGTTGAAATAAAGGAAAAAATGTTAAGGGCAGCCAGAGAGAAAGGTCGGGTTACCCACAAAAGGAAACCCATCAGACTAACAGCGGATCTCTTGGCAGAAACCCTACAAGCCAGAAGAGAGTGGGGGCCAATATTCAACATTCTTAAAGAGAAGAATTTTCAACCCAGAATTTCATATCCAGCCAAACTAAGCTTTATAAGGAAAGGAGAAATAAAATCCTTTACTGAAAAGCAAAAGCTGAGAGATTTTGTCACCACCAGGCCTGCCTTACAAGAGCTACTGAAGGAAGCACTAAACATGAAAAGGAATGACTGGTACCAGTCACTGCAAAAACATGCCAAATTGTAAAGATCATTGAAAATATGAAGAAACTGCATCAACTAACGGACAAAATAACCAGCTAGCATCACAATGACAGGATCAAATTCACACATAACAATATTAACCTTAAATGTAAATGGGCTAAATGCTTCAATTAAAAGACTCAGACTGGCAAATTGGATAAACAGTCAAGACCCATTAGTGTGCTGTATTCAGGAGACTCATGTCACATGCAAAGACACATATAGGCTGAAAATAAAGGGATGGAGGAATATGTACCAAGAAAATGGAAAGCAGAAAAGCAGGGGTTGCAATCCTAGTCTCTGATAAAACAGACTTAAAACAACAAAGATCAAGAGACACAAAGAAGGGCATTACATTATGGTAAAGGGATCAATGCAACAAGAAGAGCTAACTGTTCTAAATATATATGCACCCAATACATGAGCACCCAGATTCATAAGGCAAATTCTTAGAGAACTACAAAGAGACTTAGACTCCCATACAATAATAGTGGAGACTTTGACACCCCACTGTCAACACTAGACAGATCAATGAGACAAAAAATTAACAAAGATATCGAGGACTTGAACTCAGCTCTGGATCAAGCAGACCTAATAGACATCTACAGAACTCTCTACCCCAAATCAAGAGAATATACATTCTTCTTAGCACCACATCGCACTTATTCTAAAATTGACCCATAATTGGAAATAAAACACTACTCAGCAAATGCAAAAGAACAGAAATCATAACCAATAGTCTCTCAGATCACAATGCAATCAAATTAGAACTCTGGATTAAGAAACTCCCTCAAAACTGCACAACTACATGGAAACTGAACAACCTGCTCCTGAAGGACTACTGGGTAAATAACAAAATAAGGCAGAAATAAAGATGTCCTTTGAAACCAATGAGAACAAAGACACAATGTACCAGAATCTGTGGGACACATTTAAAGCAGTGTGTAGAAGGAAATTTATAGCGCTAAATGCCCACAAGAGAAAGCAGGAAAGATCTAAAATCGACACCCTAACATCACAATTAAAATAACTCGAGAAGCAATAGCAAACAAATTGAAGAGCTAGCAGAAGACAGGAAATAACTAAGATCAGAGCAGAACTGAAGGAGATAGAGACATGAAAAGCCCTTCAAAAAATCAATGAACTCAGGAACTGGTTTTTTGAAAAGATCAACAAAACAGATAGACTGCTAGCAAAACTAATAAAGAAGAAAAGAGATAAAAATCAAATAGATGCCTAAAAAATGATAAAGTGGATAGCAGCACCAATCCCACAGAAATACAAACTACCGTCAGAGAATACTATAAAAACCACTACGCAAATAAACTAGAAAATCTAGAAGAAATGGATAAATTTCTGGACACATACACCTTACCAAGACTAAACCAGGAAGAAGTCAAATCCCTGAATAGACCAATGACAAAGTCTGAAATTGAGGCAGTAATTAATAGCCTACCAACCAAAAAAAGTCCAAGACCAGACAAATTCACAGCAGAATTCTATCAGTGGCACAAAGAGGAGCTGGTACCATTCCTTCTGAAACTATTCCAAACAATGGAATAGCCTTGGCTGGGCGCAGTGGCTCCTGCCTGTAATCCCAGCACTTCGGGAGGCTGAGGCAGGTGGATGATGAGGTCAAGAGATTGAGACCATCCTGGCTAACATGATGAAACCACGTCTCTACTAAAAATACAAAAAATTAGCCGGGCGTGGTGGTGGGCGCCTATAGTCCCAGCTACTCAAGAGGCTGAGGCAGGAGAATGGCATGAACCTGGGAGGCGGAGCTTGCAGTGAGCCAAGATTGTGCCACTGCACTCCAGCCTGGGTGACAAAGCGAGTCTCCATCTAAAAAAAAAAAGAAAAAAAAAGAAAGAAAAAGAGGGCCTAACTCATTTTATGAGGCCAGCATCATCCTGATACTAAAACCTGGCACAGACACACCAAAAAAAGAAAATTTCAGGCCAATATCCCTGATGAAAAGTGATGCAAAAATCCTCAATAAAATACTGGCAAACCAAATCCAGCAGCACATCAAAAAGCTCATCTACCACAATCAAGTCTGCTTCATCCCTGGGATGCAAGGCTGGTTCAACATATGAAAATCAATGAAAGTAATCTATCACATAAACAGAACCAATGACAAAAACCACATGATTATCTCAAGAGATGCAGAAAAAGCATTTGACAAAATTCAACAGCCCTCCATGCTAAAAACTCTCAATAAAATAGGTATTGATGGAACAAATCTCAAAATAATAAGAGCTATTTATGACAAACCCACAGCCAATATCATACTGAATGGGAAAAAAACTGGAAACATTCCCTTTGAAAACCGGCACAAGATGAGGATGCCTTCTCTCACCACTCCTATTCAACATAGTATTGGAAGTTCTGGCCAGGGCAATCAGGCAAGAGAAAGAAATAAGGCATATTCAAATAGGAAAAGAGGAAGTCAAATTGTCCCTGTATGCTGATGACATGATTGTATATTTAGAAAACCCCTTCATCTCAGCCCAAATCTCATTAAACTGATAATCAATTTCAACAAAGTCTCAGGATACAAAATCAATGTGCAAAAATCACAACAATTCCTATAAACCAATAATAGACAGAGAGCCAAATCATGAGTGATCTCCCATTCACAATTGCTACAAAGGGAATAAAATACCTAGGAATACAACTTACAAGGGATGTGAAGGACCTCTTCAAGGAGAACTACAAACCACTGTTCAAGGAAATAAGAGGGGACATAAATAAATGAAAAAACATTCCATGCTCATGGATAGAAAGAATCAATATTGTGAAAATGACCATACTGCCCAAAGTAATTTATAGACTCAATGCTATCCCCATCAACCTATCATTGACTTTCTTCATGGAATTGGAAAAAATGGCTTTGAAGTTCATACGGAACCAAAAAAGAACCTGCATAGCAAAGACAATCCTAAGCAAAAAGAACAAAGCTGGAGACATCACCCTACCTGACTTCAAACTGTATTACAAGGGTACAGTAACCAAAACATCAGGGTACTGGTACCAAAACAGATATATAGACCAATGGAACAGAACAGAGACCTCAGAAATAATACCACACATCTACAATCATCTGATCTTTGACAAACCTGACAAAAACAAGCAATGGGGAAAGGATTCCCTACTTAATAAATGGTGTTGGGAAAACTGGCTAGCCATATGCGGAAAGCTGAAACTGGATCCCTTCCTTACACTACATACAAAAATTAACTCAAGATGGGTTAAAGACTTAAACGTAAGACCTAAAACCATAAAAACCCTAGTAGAAAACCTAGGCAATACCATTCAGGACATAGGCACGGGCAAAGGCTTCATGACTAAATCCCCAAAAGCAATACCAACAAAAGCCAGAATAGACAAATGCGATCTAATTAAAATAAAGACCTCTGCACAGCAAAAGAAACTATCATCAGACTGAACAGGCAACCTACAGAATGGGGTTAAATAATGGGGGGGAAATGTTTGCAATCTATCCATCTGACTAATGGCTAATATCCAGAATCTGCAAAGAAGTTAAACAGATTTACAAGAAAAAAACAACCCCATCAAAAAGTGGGCAAAGGATATGAACAGACATTTCTCAAAAGAAGACATTTATGCAGCCAACAAACATATGAAAAAAAGCTCATCATCACTGGTCATTAGAGAAATGCAAATCAAAACCACAATGAGATACTATCACATGCCAGTTAGAATGGTGATTATTAAAAAGTCAGGAAACAACAGATGCTAGAGAGGATGTGAGGAAATAGGAAAGCTTTTACACGGTTGTTGGGAGTGTAAATTTGTTCAACCATTGTGGAAAACAGTGTGGCAATTCCTCAAGGATCTAGAACTAGAAATACCATTTGACCCACCAATCCCATTACTGGGTATATACCCAAAGGATTATATATCATTCTACTATAAAGACACATGCACACGTATGTTTATTGCAGCACTATTCACAATAGCAAAGACTTGGAACCAACCCAAATGCCCATCAGTGATAGACTGGGTAAAGAAAATGTGGCACATATACACCATGGATTACTATGCAGCCATAAAAAAGGATGAGTTCATGTCCTTTGCAGGGACCTGGATGAAGCTCGAAACCATCATTCTCAGCAAACTAACACAAGAACAGAAAACCACACATCGCACGTTCTCACTCATAAGCGAGAGTTGAACAATGAGAACACATGGACACAGGGAGGGGAATATCACATACCATGGCCTGTCGGGAAATGCGGGGGTAGGGGAGGGATAGCATTAGGAGAAATACCTAATGTAGATAACAGGTTGATGGGTGTAGCAAACCATCATGGCACATGTATACATATGTAACAAACCTGCACGTTCTGCAAGTGTACCCCAGAACTTAAAACATAATTAAATAAATAAATAAATAAATAAATAATTGTGGTTAAAATAGACATTTATCCCAGCTAGTCATTCCATAAATATTTACTGTAACTTTACCATATACTGTGCTAAGTGCTATAAAATACAGTGAGCAAGAACAAATCCTTTCCCCCACAGAGTTAACAGCCTGATAAGAAATGAAGACACTGAGCAAGTAATCATAATTTGATTGGTAGTTCTGAGACAGTAGTTCTGGATATTTTAGGTGCATTCAATCAAAGGCTCAACTAGTGTATGATTAAGAAAGCAGTTCCTTGAAGAACTGATACTGTCTCCTTCCAGTAGAGTGTAAGCACCACATAGGCAGAAATCTGTTCACTGTAGTTCCCAGCACTGATAAGTATGTGCAGACACTTAATAAATATGTATTCTATGAATGACTGTAGCTAGAAATGTAGGGAAGTAAGCAAAGTCCAAAGAAAATATAGGGATCTATGTTAAGAATTTGGCACTTCGAAGTAGTAGGAAACCATAGAAAAATTTTAAGCACAGATGTAACATAATCATATTTATATTTTAAAAAATATATCTGTAACAATAAATGGAGAATGGTATAGAAAGGGACAATAGTGAGCCAATTCAGATGCTATCTAAGTAATCTACATGAAAGATGATGGTGACGGGGACTAGTGAATGGCAGTAGGATTAAAGAGAAGTGAATGGACTTAAGAGATAATTTGAGCATAAAATATAGGGTTCTTGGTCACTGGTTGGATGAGAGGAGGAAAGAGAGAGGAAAAATCAAAGATCACTCTAAAGTTTCTGGCTTCTTAAACTAGGGAGATGGTAATACCATTTGATGAGAAGTGGGCAACTAATATTGGTGCAGATTTGTTAGTGGGGATTAGATATGATGGATTACACTATAAATATATTGAGTTTGAGGCATTAGTGAGACTTTCAGCTGCAGATATTCAATAGGCAGCTGCAAATACAGGTCAAGAACCCTGGGAGAAGGTGCAGGCTAGAAATAGACTTTTAAGGATCGTTAGAATATAGATGCTAAGTGAAGCAGTGAGAATGAGTCACATTACTCAGAGAGTATATACAGGAAAGAAGCAAGTTTAACATACTGAATTATTACAACATTTAGATTGGATTAAAAGGGTAGAACTACCATAGACACTGGGAAGGATCAATAGAGAGGAGTAAAGCAGCCCGAGAGAGTGTGCTGTCATGGAAACCAAGGGAAAAGACTTTCAAGAAACAGAGAATGGTCAATAACATTGAATGCTACTGAGAGGGCAAATAAGGATGGAAAAATGACTGTGGGAATAAGTTACGGGAAGACCACTGGTGAACTTAATGCATACAGTTACACTAGCATGGTAAAAGATATTTTAGAATAGACTGAGGGAAAAAAAGGAAGAGAAGAAATGGAGATAATCACTAAGATTTATTTAAGAAGCTTTGCTGTGAATGGTAGGAGAGAGGTGTCTGTACAGAAAAAAAAAAAGCAAGTCAGACTGAGATTTTTTTTAAGATGGGAAAGACATTATCAATTTAAATATTTATGGAAGTTTATATTAGAAAGGGATGTGTTGAAGATTCAGAAGCAAGAAAGTATAAATTATTAGTAGATAAAATAGGTGGGAAAATAGGTAAGAGGAGAGACAACTCTTCAAATAGGTGAGAAAGATGAAAAATAAAAGGAAAAGCAAGATTGCAGGTTAACAAATTTGGTGAAGGGAGGTTCACAGAAGTCCTATCTGAAAGCATCTATTTTATCTGTCAAGTAAGAGGTACTGTATCTTAATCTGCTTCGAGTACTATATAGGAATAATTGGGAAAAGGAGGTATCAGATGTCTAAGGAGAAGAAAATATGAAACAGTTGTGTAGGGACAGAGTTTGAGTTGCCGAGGAAACTGGTAATCATAAATTCATAGTGACAAAAATTTGATCAGATTGTGAATTTTTGCTCACAGAACAAGGTAGCTGCATGCAGGCAAGGCAAAGGCAGATAGTTGAGTTAATCCAGGGTTGGGGTTTTTCCAAACAGATACATTATACGAATAAGGGACAAGAGAGCATAATATGTTTCAAGTTCATCCATGTTGTGGCATGTGTCTGTAGCTTATTTCTTCCAATTGCTGAGTAGTATTTCATTATATATATATATATACACACACACACTATATATATATATACTATATCTACTATATATAAGGATTGTTATATAGTCTGTTAACTGGTGAATGAACAAACAAAATATAGTATAAATAGTATATTTTGTTTGTTCATTCACCAGTTAACAGACAGTGGATTTTAGAGGTTTGGGGGCTCTTATAAATAATGCTACTATGAACATTTGCAAACAAGTCTTTTCTTGGGTAGGTACCTAGGAGAAGAATTGTTATGACATCTGGAAAGTATAAGTTTTTAAGTTTTATGAAACTGAAACTGTTTCCCAGAGTGGCTGCTCCATTTTTCATTCCCACCAGTCATGTATGAAGGTTTCAGTTTCTCCACATCCTTGCCGACACTTGATATTGTTAATCTTTTGGATTACAACCATTCTAGTGAGCATGTAGTGGTATCTCACTGTGGTTAATTTGCACATCTCTAACAACATTTTAAGACGTGCTGTGGCATTTTTTCTCTACTTTGCTTGACTGGGCTGGCTCTATTTTAATTCAGTTCCTTGTTCTAATATGTCATCAATCAACTATTTCTTCAAGAGTTCGTGTTTTAACTGACAGCACTGCGTAGGAGCACTTCTGTTTCTTGCTGAAAATTATTCTCAAAAAACATGCTTTTCTTCTGCCTCTTTCTACTTTTCTTATTTTATCTTTCAGAATCACTTTATAGTTTCTATGTCAGATGCCATTCTATTTTATTTGGCTTTATTTTTCATCTTTGAATGAAAATAACTTTAACCTGGACTTTCATTTACTCTCAAAATGATCTGGTTAATTTCTTCCTAGGTCCTTTCCCTGATGCCCTGAACACCATTAAAGTCCTCTTAAATTCTAAAATGAAAAAAGCTTTCACAGTCTTTCAGCCTGACAGAGGATCTGGGACTAGGGGAAATCTCAGCAATTGTCTTTCTGTAACCACTTCTTTGTTGAGAAGCCACAACCACCTTTCTGTATTTGATTCTCCATTCCTTGTACTCAGTATGACTGAGGGAATCCTTCTTGCTGATATTACTGCCCATCATTTTTGGGGTGACCCCATCTCATTAGTGGGAAGTCATGTCAAGAAAAAGCCTGACACCTGCTGGTTTCCTATTTGGTATCGCCATGTTACTCTCTTAGCCTCATCACAGCCATGTCCAAACGCTATTGATCTGTGGTGAAGAAAGAAGCTCCAGGTGGCATGGTCCTCACTATTGATTCTTCCTTTGTCCATGAAATTTATTCATCTTACCAGGATTTTCACTGTAGGTACACTGAGCCCTTTTGACCTGCAGATTCAGGGGGTTTTCCATTGAGTAAAAATTATTTAACACAACTTATTTTCCTTTTCTCCTGATTTCTTTATATGGCATGTATTTATATTTTTAATATCTGCCATATCTGACATTTTCCTATCATCTTTACATTTCATGGCCTTTTTTCTATATTCCAAGAAAGCATCTCAAAACTGTCTTCTGCATATATTATGTAATTTCCTAAAATCTTTTCTGCTTTATGTCCTTCTAATTCTGATTTTAAATCTGAAATTATATTTTTAATTTAATTAAACTCTAATCCAGGTCTTTATTTCTGCATGCCTTTCAAGATACTCTTTTGTTCATTCTTAATATAATGCTTCATTATATTGTCTTTTATCTTTTATCACAGAGTCACTGAAACACGAAGTATTTAGTTAATCCCAGAAACAGATGTTATCAAAATACTTTGTAAATCCTACAGCAAATTTGTATCAAAATGTTTGTCCTTCTTCTGCATTTTTAATGTCTTTGTTTTGCCATCCTATTTTTGAAGAATCCCATATTGATTTTTCTTTACTTTTCACTCTGTAATTAGAAGAGGCCTAAGTTTTCCCTTGCTGCCCACCTGATTGTTGTTGGAATTTCTTCAGTTGTAAACATGAATGCTTCTTTATGCGCCTTTACATCACAGTTCAGAGAACCGATGGCAGCTGTAGCAAGGAAACTTCATGTGTCATTTTCTTCTCATGTTCCGTTACACAGTTGTGACAGAGGCCAGCTTTCTCTTGAGAGCTTTTTTTTTTTTTAATACTTTAAGTTTTAGGATACATGTGCACAACGTGCAGGTTAGTTACATATGTATACATGTGCCATGTTGGTGTGCTGCACCCATCAACACGTCATTTAACATTAGGTATATCTCCTAATGCTATCCCTCCCCCTGTGTGTGATGTTCCCCTTCCTGTGTCCATGTGTTCTCATTGTTCAATTCCCACCTATGAATGAGAACATTCGGTGTTTGGTTTTTTGTCCTTGCGATAGTTTGCTGAGAATGATGGTTTCCAGCTTCATCCATGTCCCTACAAAGGACATGAACTCATCATTTTTTATGGCTGCATAGTATTCCATGGTGTATATGTGCCACATTTTCTTAATCCAGTCTATCATTGTTGGACATTTGGCTTGGTTCCAAGTCTTTGTTGTTGTGAATAGTGCCGCAATAAACATACATGTGCATGTGTCTTTATAGCAGCATGATTTAAAATCCTTTGGGTATATACCCAGTAATGGGATTGCTAGGTCAAATGGTACTTAGCCCAGCCTCTGGGCCTGTAACATGGTTTGGTCCTCCTAAGCCTCCTCCCTGGGCCTTCTGTTGGATACAAAGGCCCTGCTGTGCTGCCAACCTTTTGCTTGATTTAGCAACTGTGCAGATCCTGGAGCTGCCTTCAAGTGTTCTTGCTCCAAGACAGCAAAAGGGATTCTGCGTGACTTATTCCCCTGCTACTTCCCAACTCATAATTGCCTCTCCCAAAAATGGCATTGAGGTGAGTTTCTACCAGTTGTTACTGTCTCAGAAAGGACAGCAATGAGTCAGCCTTTAGGTTTCCTTCACCTTTAAACTTTTCTTAACTCCAAAAAGCTGGAACAATTTGTTTGTTCTAAGTGTATTCAGTCTCCTAATCTTTACTGATGGTAACTTATTTCACTTCTCCAACCAATCTTGTACTCTCATGTAAGACAAAAATACAGATGTACACACATGCATTATCAATTCATAGCATTCCTGGCTTTAATGGAAATGTGTTTAACTCTGTTATGCTATGAATCCATATGTGTGTGTGCATATGAGTTATTAGCCTATCATGTTCCTGACTTTAATGGAAATGTGCTTAACTCTGTTATGCTATGAATTCATATGTGTGTGTGCATAAGAATTTACAGCATACACAGAGTTAAACACATTTCCATTAAAGCCAGGTGCATGATGAGCTAATATTATCACAATTAATTGTCATCATCCTGGAAAGCCAATGCAATTAGGCATGAAAACAAAATCAGTGTTATAAATATTGGCAAAAATATTGTAAAAAATATTGTATGATAGGTCTAAATACAAGAAAACTAATGATGAAAGTATAGAAACTAATAAGAGAATTCATTGTGATTATAACTTATTGTTGGGTGGAACACATTAAAAAACTTGTTGAATATTTTTACCCTCTTCTGGTTATTTGAAATGGTGCGTATGTGTGTGTGTGAATGTGTCTGTAAGACAAAAATATCAAAATGTCAACCGTATCTTTGAGTGATAAGATTACAAATGCCTTTTCCCCTTGTCTGTATTTTCCAAATTCTCTACAGTGAACATGCATTGTTTTTAGAATAAAAAGTGTTTTAAAATAATAAAATGACAATGAATGTTAACATGCCCACCTACATTAGTAGCTCCTTTCCTATTCACTAACCTTAGTGAATATTTAGAAATACATTAAGAAAACCCTTCTTGAAACAATAATTCATGTAAAAAGATTTTTTTATGACAGTGCCTTTAACAAAGGAAATCTGAAAAAGAAATCCAGCCAAGCGTAAGTACAACCTGAAAAATGAAAACAAGAGCAAAGGACTAAAATCCTTCACAAAGACCTTGCAGGTTGGTATATAATGAGATTCAGAGTTTAATAATAGAAAACAATCTCAGTGTAAAATATGTACATTAATGTCAAGTTGGGATGAAGTGCAAATAAGACTCACAGCTCTGCAGAGTTCTCTCTTCGGTATTCTAGATTCCCTTTCTTGCCTATCCCCGAATAGCCTGGGAAAATGCCACACGTCCTGAGATTCAAAAAATATTTATAAAGATAAATGGCAAAATAACTTTCCAAGGGTCTCTCAGCTATTTTCCAGGAAACTAGTGAATACTAGAACAGATACCTGGTGCAAAGTTCTCCAAATACCGATTCCAATTTTAAGTTAGCAAATATTTGTCAGACTATACCAAGTGCTCTAGGCATTTATACACACTTTAGCTAATTTAATTTCATAACGTCTTCAACAGATAAATGTCTTTTTCCCAGAATATATATGAGGACACCTTCGCTCTTTAAAGTGGTGGATCTTTGAAGAGCAAGGTGGGTAATGATGTCCCATGTGACAAATGAACAAATAGAGGCAGATGGAGGAACCGCTGTTGAAACCAGGTAAGAGGTTTTATTTGATGTTAGAGTGAAAATGGTGGGTCTCTTCATCAAACAAGGCCCGAGGACTATGCTAGATGCCAAGGACACTGTGGTTTTTAAAAAGTGTAAGCCCTGCCTTTTCATTCATGGTGCTTACAGTCTAGTTGGAAAGACAAACATTAAGTAGACAACCTCATTAGAACTTATTTTAAATAGTAAAAAGGACTAAAACAGAGAAGCTTGGGTAAATAGAAGTTGTCCAGGTGAAGAGTATAGGTAAGACCATTCCAGGTAGCTGACACAGTATATTTGAAGGTGCTGAGACAGGTAAAAGCTGTGAAAATCCAAGACAATGAACAAGAGCCAGCTGCTGTGAGTGGATGGTTACCAAGGGCAGATGGTGGCAACAGATGAGGCTGGAGGGATAGGCAAGGCCTGATCACAGTGGGACTTGTAAGGCATGATAAGGACTTTTTAAATTTTATCTTTATCCAAAGAGGAAAGTGAAGCCAAAGAGCAGTTTTAAATAAAGACGTGGCACAACACAATTTTCTTTTTTAAAAGACTACGCTACCTAGACTGTGGAGAAAAAATGAATGAAGGCAAAAGTAAATATAGTGTGGTGGATATCTCATGCATGCTGCCTTTTACCTTCCTTCTAAGTTAACACTTCCTCAAAATCCTTCAGGTAATTTCCCCTGTGACATTCCTGGCCATGTGGTTGAAATAAGATTTATCCTACCTTAACTCAAAGAATGAGCCTTAATTAGTTACTTCAGTCAGCAAAATCCATCCCTCTGACTACAGCAAAAAACACATCACCCAAATTGGGCAAATGGGATATGAGAGGGTGTTTTCTAACAAAGACCACTGGAAAAGAAGCTTTGTCACCATTCTATAAAAACTGCTGAGAGAGATGTTCTGTCTTCCCTAAGATCATGAACAAAGAAGCATGAAGCTCTAAGACCTCCTGACAACCCCCTTGTTTGACATTGTGAGCCGGCTTCAGCAGCAAGATAAAACAGTAGAAGGTTGAGAGGAGAAATAGAATAAACCAGAATTTTGTTGACATGTTGATATGCTCAATCAAGTCTTGCCTGAATCCTACCCCAACTCTGGGCTTTTCAATTATATAAACTGATAAAAGTTTTTTATTGTTTAAGCTGTTTTCTGTATTTGCTACTAAAAGATTCCTAAAAAGACATCTCTCAGGAGTCTATATTCCAGGATAAACATACCATTAGCATGGGCTAGGGTTGTAGCAATAAACATGGATAAATGTGATACATTTCAGATTTATTTAAGAGCAGAACTGGTGATGATGGGTTTGAAAGAGAAAGAGATGAAAAGGATGATTGCCAGGTTCAGAGGATGATTGAAGAAGGAGCTGGCTTCAGATTAGTTTGGGGGAAGGGAGTTAGAGAAGAAGATCATAGTTTTAGAGTCTGAGGACTCTCTGATATAGCCAAGTAGAAATAGCATAGGCAGTAGAAATGCAAGCACCTAAGGAGGAGTAATAAAATAGTACTGCATAACCAGCTTCTTCTTTCTCACTTCTGATGTAAAAGAGCAAGTCCATACAATCTCTTAAAGTCAGCCTGTTCTCAGCCTCTGAAATTACAGATGAATGATCAGAAAAAAACAGGGAAACATAATCTTTGTTTAACAAACAGGCAAAGAACAGTATTTCCCATTCTTTATAAAAATTACAGAAATGCTAAGGAAAGTGGGAATTGGGTGTGAGCCATAACATCTTCAGGGGAAGGAGGGGGCCCCAGAAGGGGAAAATCCTGAGAACTTTAGTACATTGTTGATTCAAAAAAGAGAAGGGTTTCAGCTAGTAACAACGTGAATGGGTCTTTTTGATCCATTATTATATGACTGTTTCGGGATCTTTGGGGTGTCAATTTTCTGGCTCAAAACCTCTCTGGCCAGTGGTACCTTTGAATAAGTTCTTGTACTGCATCCAGGAAGAATGAGGCACACAGACAAGTGGAGGGTGAATACGATGAAAAGGAGCTTTATTGAGTGTTAGAACAACTCAGAGGATACCAGCAGTGGGTCTTCTCTCTGTAGGCAGGTCGTCCCATCAAGTGCTCAGCTCTCAGCAGAGAGGAGGCCCTGGAGAGGGTAGACTCCTCTCTGTAGCTGATCAGCCTGATGTCTGCCTAGCTCTTAGCAGAGGGGAGGCCCTGGAGTGGGTAGCTCCTCTCTGCAGCTGGTAGTCCTGACATCCCTGAAGTTCTCTGAAGCTCTCAGCAGAGAGGGTAGCTCCTCTCTACAGCTGGTCTTCCCATCCTCTCTCTGTCCTCTACCCTGCTCTGACTGAGCCCAGGGCTTTTATGGACATCAGAGGGGAGGTAGTGCATGTCAATTGGTCCATGGGCAGCCATGGGAGGCCTGGAAAAGGCATCACAATTCCCCACTCCAGTGGGCAGGTCTGGCAGCCCAGCCCCCAACCTTCAGGCCTTCCCTGGCCGGAAGGTGGGGCCTTACTGAGGACCCTCCCTCTTCCACCCAGGAACCTGTCAGCCTTTAGCAGCCATCCATGGTGCCTAGGCTTCTTTCATCAAGGGGCACCTGCAGGCCAGTGCCCAGTCACCTTCAGCTCCCCTTCAGTTTCCCCTCTCATGCTGGTTGCTGCCCAAATTCCAGAGGGAGCCAAGGCAGCAGGGGGCAGGCATGTCAGCACTGCCCTGAGCCGTGTGTACATCCAGCCAAGCTGTGACAGCACCTGGGCTTGGCCCCAGCCCTGCTCCAAGACTGGGGCAGGTGCTGGGAGCAGAGAGAGGCCAGGCAGTAGGAGTGGCACCCCCATGGGGATGGTGGGGGGCCTTCCCGCTTCATGGAGCAGACAGTAGCCCCACCCTCCTTGGTAGAGCTGCAGCTGCCCAAGTTGTGGCAGCATATCTGAGCCTCCCTGTGCTCTTAGGGGTGCCAGGAGCAGGCAGGATCCCTGCTTTCCTGGGTGCAGCTGCAGCCACCCAATCCCCGGCTGCAGACCCAGGTCTCCTGCTCCTCCTAGCAGGCAGGAGCCAGGTACAAGTGGGACCCCTGCCTCTTCTGAGCTGGGGTGGGAGCTCCCCAGGTACCACTGCAGCTAACCAAACTGCACTGTAGACCCAGCCTCCTGCTCCATGGAACAGGCAGGAGACTCACCCTCCTGGGATGTGGAAAAACCAAAGATAAGAAAGCTGAAATATGAGCACATAAGGAAGGCAAGCCAAAGAAATCAACTCTGACTAATATAAGAAAGGGGAATGATTTCAAAGGATTTCAATGGCACACAGAATCAATAAAAGCCTGGAAAACCAGGTTTGGAAATAGATGGAAACCAACCAAGCTCCAGGAAGCAAAGAGGCAGGAACTTTAGTCCATCCTGTAGATAGAAGAGGCTCTAGGTTATGAAGAACTTCAAAGGACTGCCACTCATTGGTCCTGTCCCACTTGCTCAAGTTCCAAAGTTCTAGGAAAGGACATTCAATTGTCCAAGCTTGAAACAATATTTCCAGGATCCTTGAATAAATTCCACTAAACTATAAGCTCCTTAAAAGTCAAGACCAAGTAATATATAATGTACGTGTAATATACACAGTCCTGCCATGCTTACAACAGTGAATTTTTTAATGCAGCTACTCAATAAATGCTCATTGAATGACTGAACAAAAATCAAAACCGTGTGGACACTAAATAGGCTATATTTAGAATAGTCTTTCAGATAAATTAATGACATGAAATGAAAAATATTTCCTTCAATGCTGTCTCCAATCATTCACAAATGCCCTTTTATTTGCTTTTATTTCTAAGAGATTCTTCATTTCCACCCCTTTCTCTCCATTCTCACTTCCACACTGTGAGTTCAGACCTGCTCTAACCATGCAAACCTTGCCAAGCTTCTTCATCTCACCAAGCCTCGATTTTCTATTATTAAAATTTATTATATTACAGTTTTGGAGGTCAAAAGTCCAAAATTGGTCTCACTGGGCTAAAATCAAGATGTAGTTGGAGTTAGATCCTTCTAAAGACTCCAAGGGTGAATCTGTTCCCTTGCCTTTTTCAGCTTCTAGAGGCTACTTGCACTCCTTGGCTCATGGCCCGCCTCCCTTCATCTTTGAAGCCAGTAGAGCATGTTTCTGACTCTCTTCTATCTTCGCATATCTGTGACCACAGCAGGGAAAGGCCCTATGCTTGGAAGGACCCATGTGCTTACATTGAGCTCACCCAGGTAATCTAGGATGATCTCTCCATCTCAAGGTCCTCCATCTGATCATCTCTGCAAAGTCCCTTTTGCCATATAAAATCACATATTCTTAACAAGTTACAGGGATTAAGATGTGCACACCATTGGCGGCCATTATTCAGCCTACTACTGCCTCTTTCATAGGGTTAATGTAAAGATAAGACAATTATGAGCACAATGTTGTACAGCAGACCTCTAGAACTTATTCATCTTGTATAAGTGAAACTTTACATCCAATGAACATCAATTCCCCATTTCCCTCTTCGCTCAGCCCCTGGATACCACTATTCTACTCTCTGCTTTTATGAGTTGACAACTTTAGATACCTCATATAAGTGGAATCACCTAGTATTTGTCCTTTGTGACCGGTTTATTTCACTTAGCATAATGTCCTCATCAAATTGTACACTTTAAATGTGTACAGTTTTCTGTATACCAATTATACCTCAATAAAGATGGTATTTTTTAAAAGATGAGATGTTCGCATATTTAAAGTATTTAGAACAATAACTGCCACATAGAAAACATCACATAAGTATTAATGAATATTGTAACTATAATAATCACACAGTTCTGTTTTGTCTAAGCCAGTTAGCTAATAGAGATGTGGAAGGAGCGGAAGCAGGAGGCAAATGTAATTCCAAAACAAGTTGCTACAGTCAGTGCTGAATTTGCTCTTAGAAAAAGCAGGTGAGGCCAACTTCCATGCCCGCTCCAACAATGAGTTGCACAGCAAGCTGGTCATTTTCCAGGCACTGATTCCGCATTAGCCAGACCTGTAAAAGTTGATGTTGCACAATATCAACTTGTAAGAGCCTAATTTGTGCCCAGTGGCTCACTTCATGTTTTCTTTATATTGTGACTATTTAACCTGATCACAAATGTTCTTCCTCAGGATAAAGTGGAAAGGAAATAAACATTTTGGAGCACCCATTACATAATGGTACTCTGCAAGATATTCACAAACAGCATTTCATAAAATCTTCACCAAACTCCTGGGAAGTTAGTATTCTTGTCCCCAGCTTCCAGATGAGAGAATTGAAGTTTGGAAAGGTTAAATAATTTGCCACCATCACACAGAGTAGTAATTGGTCAGGCCAGGTTCCTAGCATAGGGCTATCTGATCTGTCTGACCCCAGTGCCCATGGCCTTTTCATTACACACATCTCATAAAACTCAGAATGTGTGTGTGTAGAGATACATCTTCCTGAATTCTGCCAGAAAGAAGAGAGCCGTGAGTTTGGGGAAGTCAAAGCATCTGGGAGTCATCTTAGCGCCTCCCAAACAGGTGATGGGAGTAGATGACCTCTGACATCCCTATAGGGCAGGGCTTCTCAATCTCAACACTAAGACACTGGGGCCAGATAACCCCTTGTTCTGAGCCTTGTAGGATGTTGATCAGCATTCTTGGCCTCTCACGCGATGCCAGTAGGAGCACCTCTGCCCCATTTGTTACAACTAAAAATGTCTCCAGACATTACCAAGTGTTCACTGGGGAACAAAGTCACCCTCAATTGAGAAATACTGCTCCAGGCCTCAACATTCTGCAATTCTGAGACCTTCAACACAAGAAAGGAGGACAACTGCTCAATACAAACAGCCTAGGTCAACACTGGTCTGAGACCAATTAAGGGCCAAACCTACAGTGAAAATGAGAAGCTTTGGTTCTGCTCTCCTGCTCTCTCTGTGGAGCAGAGGGCTGATGGGCTCAAAGCTAAGTCATGAATATCAAATAGTGATGGATCCACACAGCAAAACTATGTTGTATTTATTTTTCTAGTTAAATTAATGTTGTTTGTACAGACAAATTAGTTAGCCAAATTTGAGAGCCACTACTTGTGGTTCCAAGATTCTGTATTTTGTGTAATGTTATTTTGTAAGTGTGGTTATCCTGTTTATAAATGCTCAAAGGAAAAAATATTACCTGTAATCTTAACAACACATATATAATCACATTTCTATAATCAATATTTACATATATGTATCATATATGTGGATAATATATGTGTACATATGTATATATAATTTATAGTAAACAATACATATAGGAAATCACATTCAGCTTCAGAGGTTGTCTTTTTAGTCTGTCTAAGCAGTGGTAGTTGTGGTTAACAGCTCAGACTTTGGAGCCAAGTTTTTCCCAATTGAATCACTGTTTTGCCTAGTGACCCTGAGCAAGTTATCTAAGGTTTCTGTGCCTGTTTCCTCATCTGTAAAATAGGGGCAATAATAGTACCTCACAAGTTTTGTAAAGAATTAAATTATTTAATACACTTAAAGCAACTTGGGTAGTGCCTGACACACAGTATTCACTCAATGTACATTAACTATTACTATTATTTCTACATCAAATACACTCTTTAAAAATACATATGTGTTTTTAACAAAAAATATTATTAATTACTTGGTAGCCTGGTTGTTTTACTGAGAAATGTATCATAAATACCTCTATGCCTCTAAATCTTTTTCTACAACATGATCCTTAATGGGCTGGATGTACCTCATTTCGCATAAACAGTTTATTTGAGGATATTGAAGAAAGTTGCAGATTTGAGATATTGAGAAATATTACAATTGGGCATGCTTGAACATCTGTCTCATTATTTCCTTAGGATACAGTCCTAGAAGAAAAATTGTCAGGATAAAAGGTATATTTATTTTGAAGTATTTTGATACACTTTAGGTCCCAGGATTTCTGTCACCCAGAGTTCTTTGTGATATTTTATTCTTGGCTTGTATGAAAGAGCCATAGGCGACTGCCTATGAGCAAAGTATTAAGCTGGTGCAAAAGTAACTGCAGTTTTTGCCATTCAAATGTAATGTCCTATTCAGGGACCTAGATGAAGCTGGAAGCCATTATCTTCAGCAAAGTAATGCAGAAACAGAAAACCAAACACCACATGTTCTCATTTATAAGTGGGAACTGAACAATGAGAACCCATGGACACAGGGAGGGGAGCAACACTCACTGGGGTCTGTCAGGGGAGGGCAGGGGGGCGGGCAGAGCATTAGGGAAAAGAGTTAATGCATGCGGGGCTTAATACCTAGGTGATGGGTTGATAGGTGCAGCAAACAAGCATGACACACATTTACCTATGTAAAAAATCTGCACATGCTGCACAAGTACCCCAGAACTTAAAAAAAAAATAAGAATTAAAAGAAAGAAAAGAAGAAAAGGAAAAAAAAAAGTAATGGCAGAAACCGCAATTACTTTTGCATCAACCTGATAACATAATCAAATCAGGATACTGTGTTCCTCAGCTACTCTGAACAGAAATGTGATGCTGAATTCCAAGTTGTGGGTGATGTGAACATCCAGTGAAGGTGATTTGGTGATGGATGTGGGCTGGCTATCATGCCAGCTCCTCTCCAACCCCATGCTGTTTGAAGTGCCAGTGTTCTTCCGATATAACTAACTCCAAAAACAAAAAGCATCATGTGGCCTGAGCGTCAGGAATCCTTAGCTTCAAACTGAGATAAATTCAGGGAACTCAGAACAGCTGCACTGACACGTATTTCTCAGGCTATCTCTCTTCATTTATTCCATTCATGGAGAATTCCTCTTGGCAAGGTGTTACAGCCCTTGTGTCAGGAAAGACTTGTATAATTTAGAAATGTGTTCCTAAAATAGTAAAAGGGCTGAAATGTCTCAGAGGCATAAAAATGACCTGAAAGAACTCCATCAAGAGGAACCTTGCCAGAGAGAGCTGATCACATGGAACTGCAGGTGAAGCAACAACATGACATGAGATCCAACCTATTAGTCCAACAATTTATACCTGCCTGTAATTAAAGGGACACCAATAAATAAGTGATTTAATATTTAGAGAAGATATAAAATTATGAATTCATGGACTCTCAATATCATAGGGATCTGCAAGGTCATCTATTCTAGCCAATGGTCAGCTGTTGCTTGAATTCCATTTACAATTGTCCTGACAAGTGATCTCCAGCCTCTGCTTGGATATTTCCAGTAGCACAAAACTCACCACTTCCTGCAGGTGATTCTCTCCTTAGAATATCTAATTTGGGTTGTTGTTTTTTATTTGTTTTGAGGCAGGGTCTTGCTCTGATGCCCAGGCAGGAATGCAGTGGCAAGACCACAGCTCACTACTGCCTCAACCTCCCAAGTTCAAGCAATCTTCCCACCTCAGCCTCCCTGAGTAGCTAGGACTGCAGGTGCACACCACCACACTTGGGTAATTTTTGTAGTTTTTGTAGAGATGGGGTTTCTACAACCCCCATAGAAACATGAGGTTTTGCCATGTTGCTTAGGCTGGTCTTGAACTCCTGAATTCAAGTGATCTGCCTGCCTCAGCCTCCCAAAGTTCTGGGATTACAGGCATGTACCACCATGCCTGGTCTTAGAATACCTTTTGTAACTAGAAATTTTATCCATATTAAGATCCTGAAATCCATCAGCCTAAACAAACAAATAAATAAATGTTTTCAAGGCATTTGTGAGTGATACAGGGTGTTGAAAAAAATTAATCTTAATAGCTGGCTCCCTCTTAAGGAGGGAACTAACTTTTTTTATAAAAATACTTGATAACCTATTTTGATTGACAAAGATGAGGTCTTAAGGGCTTATAGTAAAGTAAAACCAACTCTTATGCCCTAGAAATTAATGGAAATTTGTGGGTGGGATGAGCAGTCTAAGGTTAGAGATGGAATTTGTAGTAGGCAGAAGGGAGCTGAACAAGACATTGGGTCCTGTAGGGAAAAGGTGACCAGTTAGAAATTTCCTGTGCCACAGGTATTTTAAGAACAATATTCCATTTTAAATTTGCTTCATTTCTACAATATGAAAAATAGATTGGTATAACACTTTAACAAGCAATTTGGTTAAAAATACTCAATTTGCAATTAGCCAAGAATAATCCGAATTCTTGACATCTATCCTGAAAAACTGAATCGAAATGTGGATATGCAAAAAACTGGAAGCAATCTAAATAATAAAACAAGGATTGCTAAGTGAATTATGGTACAACCACTTGGTGGAATATTTTACAACTATTAAATATGATGTTAAAGATAATTTAACATTGGAAATGTATGACAAAATGTTTTTGAAAATATAAGAAAAGTTATTCTTCAGTGTTACCTAATAAATAAACAAAATGACAAAGAAATTCTATGCATAGAAAACATTTTCCTTTCTAGTTTCCAAATGATGGATATTAATAAATTATTATGAGTATTCCCAATCCAGTGTTCTTGAAGTTAATTAAAACACAAAACTCCACATTCATTTCCCTGTGCCTTGCTGCCTCTCTTCCTCTTTGTCGTTTCCTCCTCTTCTTTCTCTTCATTCTCTTTCATTCTGTCTCCTCCTTCTCTTTTCTCTCCCCTCCATCCTCTCTCCCCTACTGCCCTCCCTCTCCGTTAATAAAATTGATAATGATATCTTTTAAAAAAAAAAAAAAAGAAAACATTTTCAAATAAATACATAAAAATGTTGATAATCATCATCTCTAATGGTAATTTCCTCCTATTTTCCCTATTTTTTACATTGTTATATAGCAAACATGTTTAATACCTAGGATTAGGAAACCCTAACATAATCTATATGTAAACATTAATGTTAAGCCTCACTTAAATTGTCTTTATTGCTGGGTTCTTCAGCAACTAGCTGAGGAAAGCAGCTTCATGATTATAAAAAAGAAGCCAGCTGTCCTTTCTTTTAGACTGAACTCTGACACCTTGGTCAATTCCCTTCATCTTTTTGAGTGTCATTTATACAGGACTGTTGGGGATACAATGAGTTAGTGAAAATAAAAGCTCTCTGGATTCTACATCCTTATAAAATTACAAAGAACTGTTACCGTTAGAATAGAATCTAGAGGTGGTCACTTCATTCTTCCATCTTGCACTATATTCTTTTGCAAATGGCCATTTCATACAATCTAGGAAAACAAATTGCATATGGGTCACATTTCTATATAGCATACATTGTGATAAAATTTATACATTGGGATAAAATTCAGAGTAATACACTGAACTTCAGTGTATTATCCTGAAAACAAAATATACGAAGGGTCCCAAAACCGGTGATATCATAATTCTCTTCAACAGTGTGTGCATGTGTGATATGTGTGCAAATGCGAATGTGTACACACATGGTGTGTGTGTGCATATGTGGTCTGTGAGGCGTGTATGTATTTATGTGAGTATGTGTACATTAAGGAGACCGTGAGAGCCAGAAATGATATAGAATTCCTACTGCCCTGTAAAGAACTTTTGTTTGTATGGGGGGTTTTTTGCCTTACTATCTGTGGTATATCTGGACATTAAGACAGAACTGTTCAGGACCATAGATTACAGATTCAAGTGCTGGGAACTTGAAATTATCACATATAAATGACCTGATGAAGCAGGCCATTCATTGGAATCTGATCACAATACTTTAATCTTTGAACAAAATTCAGAATAAGTCCATCTTTTATCCCTTCAAAAAGCCAGGTGAAGAATCATTAGAAGCCACATATAAAGCAGTTTCAAGTGATAATTAAATAACTTTGCACTAATATTCAGATATAAACGGAATTTGCACTGAATTTAAGATAATATTCAGCTGTATATACTGAGCAGAACACAAGACTTGAGTCAGAAGCACGAAGTTATGTTCCTAGTTTCACTAACTACAAGGCCATTTTTGATTACCCACTCAGCAAATGGCTCCTCTCCATAACTGGTGCCACTTCATTCCACTCTACTCTTTACTTCCCCAAATGACTGAGCCCCACCTGGCCATCCTTTCCCATTGCCAATCCCTCCCAACTCATTGCCAATTCTATGACCAGATCTTTTGGCCTCTTAATTCTTACAACTGTATCCCTTCCCACTCCCAGCCTGTACCATTTAAGTGAGATCAAGCTCCCAGCCTGGCCCCTTCCCAAAGATTATTCAAGCCATGTCTCAAAGTGGACACTATAGAGCCAAGAGAACATTTTTAAGTTATTTAACCTCACCAAGGCTTGTGGGTTAAATGACATCTAATGACCTTCCTTGATCTAACATTCCATGGTTCTATGACAACATAATACTACTAATAATAAATATAATAATTATTACACCTGACGTTTGTGTAGAGGGCCAGTTCTCAGTGCATCTTCACTCACATTACCTTTGACTCACACAACAGATAGATAAATCAGGTGCTATCATCCCCATGCTACAATCGAGATTGGAGATTATATGATTTATTTTTCCAGAACAGTGAGACTCAGAGCCACATCTACTGACTCCAAATTTTAGGCTGTTTTTTTGTTTTCAATCCACAGAATGATAACCTAAAATGAGGCAAAACTCTATTGCTATTTATTCACAGTGGAAACAAGAGATTTGTGTGATTATGGTAATTCCAAACTTTCAAATATCAGTAACGTGACTTTTTCAGACTAGATTCAAATTCTTTTGAGTCTAATAAAGCATTTCAGCTCTTACGAAGCAAACCACATCTCTTGCCCAGAAGAGAAACTGGTAGGGTTTCAAAGACTCTTACTGAGCTCAAAGGGACTAGAATTGAGCACAGACCCTACTAGCTTGTCCAGATACAGAGCACTGTGAGCCTCATCCTTTCTACAATGGCACAAACTCTTGACAGTCTCTAATTCTGTATTAGTTTTCTATTGCTGCTATAACAAATCACCACAAACTTAGTGGCTTAAAACAACACAAATATATTCCCTTATAGTTCTATGTCTCAGAAGTCTGACATGGATCTCCCTGGACTAAAATCAAGGGGTTGGTAGAGCTGGTTCCTTCTACAGTCTCTAGGAGAGAATCATCTCCTTGCCTTTTCTAGCCTTTAGAGACCACCCACATTCCTTGGCTTCTAGGCCCCCTCCTTCCATCTTCAAATCCAGCAATATAGCATGTCTCTGACTCTACTCTGTCCTCACATCTTTTCCCCTGGCCACAGCAGGAAAAGTTTCTCCACTTTTAAGGGGGCCTGTGATAAGATTGTGGCCACCCAGATAATCCAGGATAATCTCCCAATTTAAATGTTCTTAATTTAATGATATTCGCCAAGTTCCTCTTGCCATGAAAAGTAACATATTCACAGTTTCCAGGGATTAGGATGTTGACATCTTTGGAGGGCCATTATTCTGCCTACCACAATGATTATTTTTGTATTAATCTTACCAAAAATGATAACAGCAGAAATGTATCCATATACCTTCCATAGGTCAAACACCAATGTAGGAACTTTACATACCTTGCCACAAATTTTTTTTAAAGTACCACACGATCAGTATCACTATCCCCATTTTACAGTGAAACTGAGATTCAGGGACTATGTTACCCTACAAGCTAGTCAGAGGCAGAGCAGGCTTCCAAACTGCTGTAAAACAACTGTGTGCAGCAAAAACAGCCACTTCTCAAGGAAATCATTTATTCCCAGGCATAAACCTGCCATGTAGCTAAGCTCAGCTGGAAGCCTGGCAAAGATTTCTACACAGGGGAAACCCCGCCTATCCAGATCCCCAGCTTGCAGCCTGAGATTCCTCTGCAGTGGCACGTTCCATCCACAGCACAAGTGAAATCTGGAGATTAATATGGCAAAAGCTCCCTGTGAATAAAACTCTTCTAAAACCTCTGTAGACTCAAGGCTTTTGGTAACACATTTGCCATGTGACAGGTTTCCTGGGCTTCTGCTACTACTTGGCATCATCACACTCCACAATCAATTTTAAAATTGTCATTTTTGTCCCACTGAGGCTTTAAATAGCACCTCCTAACAGCCAGGCCAGCTTCCGCAGCTTTTGCTTTCTATTAAGAGCATGTGAGGGCACTCAAGCTATTGAAAATAAATGCCACAGAGTATTTGCTGTGATGGTTAACACTGAGTGTCAACTTGATTGGATTGAAGGATGCAAAGTATTGTTCCTGGGTATATCTGTGGGGGTGTTGCCAAAGGAGGTTAACATTTGAGTCAGTGGAGGCAGACCCACCCTCAATCTGGGTGGGCACCATCTAATCAGCTGCCAGCATGGCTAGGATAAAGCAGAGAGGAAGAACGTGGAAGGACTAGACTTGCTGGGTCTTCCAGCCTTCATCTTTCTACCACACTGGATGCTTCCTGCCTTCGAACACCAGACTCCAAATTCTTCAGCTTTTGAACTCATGGACTTACACCAGTGGTTTGCCAGGGCTCTCGGGTCTTTGGCCACAAACCAAAGGCTGCACCATTGGCCTCCCTGTTTTTGAGGTTTTGGGACTCAGACTGATCCACTACTGGCTTTCCTGCTCCTGAACCTACAGACAGCCTATCGTGAAACTTTCCCTTGTGATTGTGTGAGTCAATTCTCCTTAATAAACTCCCTTTCATATATACATCTATCCTATTAGTTCTGTGCTTCTAGAGAACCCTGTCTAATACACTTTTATACATTTGCTTTGTTTAAATTACTTTGAGGACATTGAGAATGCAGACTTAATAATTCACAATAAAATTTTCCAAAATAATACCATATATTCTAAGCACAAAAAACATCAATGCCATCTTCTCTCTGCAAGTTGCTGAGATAGAAATGCACATGTCACATTAGTGCTAGGACCAAAAAGTGAGAGAATAAAAGAAAATGAAATTTCAAAATGCTAACATTTATTGAGCACCTTCTGTTTGCCAAGTGTTTTGGACAGTTAATATCATTTAATTCATACAATAGATGTAAGTAACCCAAAATTACCGGTGAAGATACTGAGCCTTAGAGAGGTTAAGTAACAGGTCCAAGGTCACTCTGCTGGAAAGCAGTGAAGCCTGGGGTTGTCTGGCCATGAAAACAATCCACTGCACTACACACCCAACCGAAGAAACCAGGTTCAAGGGTGTAAGGCAGGAGTCAGCCCTGATTCATTTGAAGGCAGGGTGACTTGGGAAAAAATATGTATTTATTTGCTTATAGGCTGTGTGAGAGATAGGAAGCATTAAGGCTGAAGGTAAGAGACAAGCAGCTGCAGCTGATTTAGTTCCAGCTATCACAATCTCCATGCACCTAACAGCAGCAGTGATAGTAACACCTTGTAATTACAAACCACCCTTCTCAAAGATGCTCAGAGCTCTTAATGGACACATTCACATCCGTCTTGCCAACAGCTCTGGAATGGAGCAGACAGCACAATTACCTTCCTTTTACAGGTGGAGAAGCAAATGCATTTGCCCAAGGTCATCCAGGGACAGAGGGACCAACAAAAACAAAAGCCCTCAAACTACTGTCTAGACTGTTACCCAATGGCTATGGGGAAACAAATTCAACACCCTGGTTCCAGAGACCCATGGGTGAAACATCTATCCATTCAGACTTGCTATGCTCTGTAAAGTTCCCTGTCAAAATGACCCACATATCCGGAAATATGTGACAGGAAGGGTCTCTATATCCTTCATCCCTCCAGATACTCACTCCTGGTACAGAAACCTTTCTTTTGATAAACAGTACATTTACATTATTGAAAGCAGAGAAAGCTTTATTTGTCAAATTGATGATCTATCCTAAAGAACCCCAAAGCCGTGGCCAGAAAGGTCCCCAATACCATTCCCAGGAGGGATGCTAGGATTTGCCTCTCTGGCCTTGACTACAAGAAGCACCAATTGAAGAAAGCAGGAGCCAGAAGGCTAGGAGAGAGAAAAGGAAAAAGAAGGGAGATCCTGCAGAGAAGTGTGCAGACCCCACATGTGGGATGTCCAAAGTGGACTCTGTATGGGCCATTTCCCAGGTGAACCATGCAGATGGTAAAGTGTTATTTAGCAATAGCGTTGAACACCCTTGGTGATTATAGCTGACTACTGGTATAATTGTGTTCTTGATGAGTATTGTATTTTTATGCTCTTCCAGATATTTCAAGGCTTAATAGCAAGTTTACTCAGGGTTCGGAAAGTATTGTGTAAAGCACAATACTACAGCATATAAAACCAGATAGAACTCTATTTTTTTTTATTTTATTATCCTTTAAGTTCTAGGGTACATGTGCACAACGTGCAGGTTTTTTACATGTGTATACACGTGCCATGTTGGTGTGTTGCACCCATTAACTCATCATTTACATTAGGTATATCTCCTAATGCTATCCCTCCCCCCGCCCCCCACCTCACAACAGGCCCTGGTGTGTGATGTCCCCCTTCCTGTGTCCAAGCGTTCTAATTGTTCAATTCCCACCTATGAGTGAGAACATGCAGTGTTTGGTTTTTTGTCCTTGCGATAGTTTGCTGAGAATGATGGTTTCCAGCTTCATCCATGTCCCTACAAAGGACATAAACTCATCCTTTTTTATGGCTGCATAGTATTCCATGGTGTATATGTGCCACATTTTCTTAATCCAGCCTATCATTGTTGGACATTTGGGTTAGTTCCAGGTCTTTGCTATTGTGAATAGTGCTGCAATAAACATACGTGTGCATGTGTCTTTATGACAGCATGATTTATAATCCTTTGGGTATATACCCAGTAATGGGATGGCTGGGTCAAATGGTATTTCTAGTTCTAGATCCCTGATGAATCGCCACACTGTCTTCCACAGTGGTTGAACTAGTTTACAGTCCCACCAACAGTGTAAAAGTGTTCCTATTTCTCCACATCCTCTCCAGCACCTGTGGTTTCCTAACTTTTTAATGATCGCCATTCTAACTGGTGTGAGATGGTATCTCACTGTAGTTTTGATTTGCATTTCTCTGATGGCCAGTGATGATGAACATTTTTTCATGTGTCTGTTGGCTGCATAAATGTCTTCTTTTGAGAAGTGTCTGTTCATATCCTTCGCCCACTTGTTGATGGGGTTGTTTGTTTTTTTCTTGTACATCTGTTTGAGTTCTTTGTAGATTCTGCATGTTAGTCACATGGGAAGATTGCAAAAAATTTCTCTCATTCTGTAGGTTGCCTGTCCACTCTGATGGTATTTTCTTTTGCTGTGCAGAAGCTCTTTAGTTTAATTAGATCCCATTTGTCAATTTTGGCTTTTGTTGCCATTGCTTTTGGTGTTTTAGACATGAAGTCCTTGCCCATGCCTATGTCCTGAATGGTATTGTCTAGGTTTTCTTCTAGGGTTTCTATGGTTTTAGGTCTAATATTTAAGTCTTTAATCCATCTTGAATTAATTTTTGTATAAGGTGTAAGGAAGGGATTCAGTTTCAGCTTTCTACATATGGCTAGCCAGTTTTCCCAGCACCATTTGTTAAATAGGGAATCCTTTCCCCATTTCTTGTTTTTGTCAGGTTTGTCAAAGATCAGATAGTTGTAGATGTGTGGTATTATTTCTGAGGGCTCTGTTCTGTTCCATTGGTCTATATCTCTGTTTTGGTACCAGTACCATGCTGTTTTGGTTACTGTAGCCTTGTAGTATAGTTTGAAGTCAGGTAGTGTGATGCCTCCAGCTTTGTTCTTTTGGCTTAGGATTGACTTGGCAATGTGGGCTCTTTTTTGGTTCCATATGAACTTTAAAGTAGCTTTTTCCAATTCTGTGAAGAAAGTCACTGGTAGCTTGATGGGGATGGCATTGAATCTATAAATTACCTTGGGCAGTTTGGCCATTTTCACGATATTGATTCTTCCTATCCATGAGCATGGAATGTTCTTCCACTTGTTTGTATCCTCTTTTATTTTGTTGAGCAGTGGTTTGTAGTTCTACTTGAAGAGGTCCTTCACATCCCTTGTAAGTTGGATTCCTAGCTATTTTATTCTCTTTGAAACAATTGTGAATGGGAGTTCACTCATGATTTGGCTCTCTGTTTGTCTGTTATTGGTGTATAAGAATGCTTGTGATTTTTGTACATTGATTTTGTATCCTGAGACTTTGCTGAAGTTGCTTATCAGCTTAAGGAGATTTTGGGCGGAGACGATGGGGTTTTCTAGATATACAGTCATGTCATCTGCAAACAGGGATAACTTGACTTCCTCTTTTCCTAATTGAATACCCTTTATTTCCTTCTCCTGCCTGATTGCCCTGGCCAGAACTTCCAACACTATGTTGAATGGGAGTGGTGAGAGAGGGCATCCCTGTCTTGTGCCAGTTTTCAAAGGGAATGCTTTCAGTTTTTGCCCATTCAGTATGATATTGGCTGTGGGTTTGTCATAAATAGCTCTTATTATTTTGAGACACGTCCCGTCAATACCTAGTTTATTGAGAGTTTTTAGCATGAAGGGCTGTTGAATTTTGTTGAAAGCCTTTTCTGCATCTATTGAGATAATCATGTGGTTTTTGTCTTTGGTTCTGTTCATATGAGGGATTACTTTTATTGATTTGCGTATGTTGAACCAGCCTTGCATCCCAGGGATGAAGCCCACTTGATCATGGTGGATAAGCTTTTTGATGTGCTGCTGGATTCAGTTTGCCAGTATTTTATTGAGGATTTTTGTGTTGATGTTCATCAGGGATATTGGTCTAAAATTCTCTTTTTTTGTTGTGTCTGTGCCAGGCTTTGGTATCAGGATGATGCTGGCCTCATAAAATGAGTTAGGGAGGATTCCCTCTTTTTCTATTGATTGGAATAGTTTCAGAAGGAATGGTACCAGTTCCTCCTTGTACCTCTGGTAGAATTCGGCTGTGAATCTGTCTGGTCCTGGACTTTTTTTGGTTGGTAAGCTATTAATTATTACCTCAATTTCAGAGCCTGTTATTGGTCTATTCAGAGATTCAACTTCTTCCTGGTTTAGTCTTGGGAGGGTGTATGCATCGAGGAATTTACCCATTTCTTCTAGATTTTCTAGTTTATTTGCGTAGAGGTGTTTATAGTATTTTCTGATGGTAGTTTGTATTTCTGTGGGATCGGTGGTGATATCCCCTTTATCATTTTTTATTGTGTCTATTTGATTCTTCTCTCTTTTCTTCTTTATTAGTCTTGCTAGTGGTCTATCAATTTTGTTGATCTTTTCAAAAAAACCAGCTCCTGGATTCATTGATTTTTTGAAGAGATTTTTGTGTCTCTATCTCCTTCAGTTCTGCTCTGATCTTAGTTATTTCTTGTCTTCTGCTAGCTTTTGAATGTGTTTGCTCTTACTTCTCTAGTTCTTTTAATTGTGATGTTAGGGTGTCAATTTTAGATCTTTCCTGCTTTCTCTTGTGGGCATTTAGTGCTATAAATTTCCCTCTACACACTGCTTTAAATGTGTCCCAGAGATTCTGGTATGTTGTGTCTTTGTTGTCGTTGGTTTCAAAGAACGTCTTTATTTCTGCCTTCATTTCATTATGTACCCAGTAGTCATTCAGGAGCAGGTTGTTCAGTTTCCATGTAGTTGAGCAGTTTTCAGTGAGTTTCTTAATCCTGAGTTCTAGTTTGATTGCACTGTGGTCTGAGAGACAGTTTGTTGTAATTTCTGTTCTTTTACATTTGCTGAGGAGTGCTTTACTTCCAACTATGTGGTCAGTTTTGGAGTAAGTGTGGTGTGGTGCTGAGAAGAATGTATATTCTCTTTATCTTAAACAAAAATGTGAGCCTTATTCCAATTACCAGAGTTACAAAAGGCTTCTATTGCACTTACAAAAAAGTCTTTTTTTTTTTTTTTTTTTTTTTTTTTTGAGACAGAGTCTTACTCTTTTTGCCCAGGCTGGAGTGCACTGGCGTGATCTCGGCTCACTGCAACCTCCGCCTCCCGGGTTCAAGCAATTCTTCTGCCTCAGCCTTGTGAGTAGCTGGGATTACAGGCACCCACCACCACACCCGGCTAATTTTTTAATATTTTTTAGTAGAGATGGGGTTTCACCACGTTGGGCCTGCCTGGTCTCGAACTCCTGACTTCAGGTGATCCACCTGCCTTGGCCTCCCAAAGTGCTGTGAGTACAGGCATAAGCCATTGCCCCCAGCCCACAAACAAGTCTTAAAATTAAAAATACTACTCCAAAGCTGGGCACAATGGCATGTACCTATAATCCCAGCTACTTGGGAGGCTGTGGCAGGAGAATTGCTTGAGCCCAGTAATTCAAGACCAGCCTGAGCAACACAGCAACACCCCATCTCCAAAGAAAACACTACTCCAGGCACAAGACTTAGCACTCAAGAGCCATGCCAGCTTCCTCAGCTGCAATGTTAGGCCAACCATTGAGCTATTCTCACCTCCTAGGGAAAAAGTTCAGTGATACTTGTTTCTCCCTGGCAGAGGATACCATCAAGAAAATTTTGAAAGCTAATACCTGATTTTAGAAATGCTACAGTCTTAAATGTGAATTTAATGAAAATACTATGTTTTTTTTTGGCTTGTCACTCCTGGACTTGATGAATAAGATCAGGGGCTTTTAGATTAATAAAATGGGTTTTACCTACCCCACCCTTTCCCAATTTCTGATGAGTAAAATCTAAAGGAAAATAGAAAAGAAAGGAAACAAAAGAGCAATCTGAATTAGAAGAAACCGGGAGTGAAGTTTCAAGAAAATTCTGCTACATTGACAGTAGATGAGAATAAAATAAAGCAAAAATGGAACACAATCTGTCGGAAGAAAGTGGCCAGAATCCAAGGAAAAATTGACAAACAGCCTCCCCAGCCCAGCCCTGAGCTTCAGTGGTCAGAAGAAAGAGATGGCCATGGCATACCAGCTGTGAGGTCAACTCTCAGTCTCCTAGGCAATCATAACTATAAATATATCATTAATAAAATATAAGAAAATCAAGTCTGCCAGGATATTAAAGGACTAATACGCCATGATAAAATAGGCTTCATTCCAGGAATAAATGCAATTGTGGCTCAATATTAGGAAATCTATAATTCATCACATTAGTGGGTCAAAGGAGAAAGCCATCTGATTGCCTCAATAGATTTTTTTAAAGCAATTGATAAAATTTTAAGTATATGTCCTAGAAATAGAAAGATATACTTTAATTTGATATGGAATATCTATAACCAAATTAATCAGAAATACAATACTTAAATATAAAACACTAAGAATATTTTGATTAATATAAAGAAGGAGATAAAAATGGCCAGCATCACAACTAATATTTTAATATCCTTCTGGTAGTTTTAGACAGTTAAATGAGACCACTAGAAATAAAAAACAAAAAATCATAATATTAAGAAACAGGAGAGACTTTATCCTTACTTGCATATAATTAAAAATATCTATCTGAAAAAAATCTAAGACCATCAACTGAAATACTAAAATAAGAGAGTTGAGTAATACAGCTATTTCAAAAATATAAATAAATAAATACTTCAAATGATAGATTTGCTATATGCCAGTTGTAACTATTTTCTTCCCAACCCTTGGGTACATGTTGCTGAGTTCTAGCTGAGGTCTAACACTGGGGCCCACCCAATTGAGAAAATCCAAAGAAAAATGAGGGTAAAAGTAATTTGGACACATGAACAGAACATTTCAGGAAA